>NC_000004.12:180436532-180739562 GCF_000001405.40 Homo sapiens
TATTAAAAACAGGAGCAGATGGGCTAGTTGGATTCCAGACACAAATGGCTGAATATGGTTGATGTACAAAAAAGACAGATGAAAGGCTAGTTAGGGAATTTCTCTGGGAACAATTTCAGGAAGGCTTTTGCACTGAGGTTCACTTAACTTCAGGAATGGCAGTTTTGATTTACAATCTAACCACAGACCAAAGATTATTTTTTTTAATTGTTGTTGTTGTTTGGTCTTAGACCGAAAAAAAAAAAAAAAAAGCAGTTCACATGAAAGAATTGTGGTTGTTGGTAGAGGATAGGGTAAGAGCGTGGTTGCATGGCACGGGTTCATGCCAAACAAGGGGTAGAGAAGTCATCCTCTTAGAAACAGAGAAACACAGGCAGTGGCTACAAAATAAACTGTGCATTCTTCATATGCAGATAAATAAATTTGGAAATCTTAGATTATATGAGCCAAGAGTCCTATTTGTCATTACATCCATGCCATAGGTAAGTTGAGATAAACACTGCGGAAGCGTCTCAGGCTTGGGATGCATTTTCTCAGGAAATATTTTTGCCTGCAGTGGATCCTGGGGCGGGTGGAAGGGTGAGTGAGCCACGTAAGGTGTGAGTGAAGAAAATCTCAGCTTCCCTTTCCCTTTTCCCGTGTCACTACCCTGCCCTAGTAACCGCAGTCATTCCACAATATTCAGTGGTTTCTAAGTTTTTCTGAAAGTCTGTCAATGTACCCTGTTATCATTTCACTTATTCCCAAATGCCGTCATCCCCAACTTCAATACGCACATTTCCACATCTGTTTTATGTACTATGATGTGCACTTTTAAGCTATTTTACTCTCCAAGCTCCTCTCCTCCTGCCAGTTCACATTTTTTTAGGCCTTGCTCAAACTCCACCTCTTCTTGAAGCTTTATCATCTCTAAAGAGCACTCGTCTTCTGTCGGCACTAGCGGATGCATAACAAGCACCGCACTACTTTCAATTTATGCTGACTGGTATCGCTGCGTGGGATTTATGTGTGAATTTCATCTCCCTAACTGGAAGGTACGATTTTGATGGAAGGGACTGTGCTTTACAAATCTCTTACGCTCTCCACTGTGCCTGGTGCATCATAGGCATGAAATCTGTGTTGAGCACACACATTTGAATTCTTATATTTCCCACATCTCAGTTTGAAACAACGGATAAAACACTAAGATAAATGGTTTATTGTCTGAAGTTCCCGTAGTTTCCCTAGACAGCTTAATAAGCTGTATTCTTTTAAAGAAGGAAAATACTAACAGGCAGCTGTTGTGGTCTTGGCTTCCTGATCCTCAGGCAGTTCACTTGTGGTCTCTGGAACTCAGTTCGTCATCTGTAAAATGAGGAAGTTCACCTCACCTTCTGGAATTCTATCACAGCAATTTATGTTCAACTGGATTCAAAGAGGAGCTGAGCCATTCCAAGTATCTTGTAAAGACTTTCTTTAAGGCCGGGCACAGTGGATCATGCCTGTAATCCCAGCACTTTGGGAGGCCGAGGCAGGTGGATCACTTGAGGTCAGGAATTTGAGATCAGCCTGGCCAACATGGCAAAACCCCGTCTCTACTAAAAATACAAAAATTAGCCGCAGGGGGTGGTGCATGCCTGTAATCCCAGCTACTCGGGAGGCTGAGGCAGAGGAATCACTTGAGCCTGGGAGGTGGAGGCTACAGTGAGCTGTGTCATACCACTGTACTCCAGCCTGTATGACAGAGCGACTCTGTCTCAAAAAAAAAAGAAAAAAAAAAAAGAAGACTTTCTTCAATCATCTACTTATTCCTATGTATTTATTGGATGCCTCCTATATCCCAAACACTCTGTTAGGCTCTGGGAATAGAGTGATACCTAATAAAGGGACCAGGCTCTAAACCTCAAGGTGGGCACAGTCAAGTAAGGGAGAGAAACCACAGACAGCCTGGGGTAGCACAGGGGTCCTAAAGTGTCTCCACCAGCCCCAGCAGTGTCACCTGGGAACTTGTTCGAAATGCATGTTCCTGGGCCCCAATCCACACCCACTGAACCAGAAGACCCGAGAGTGGATTGCCGCAGTCTGTGTTGAACGAGCCCTCTGCTGCACAGTGGTCTCATTCTGTTACACCAGATGTTGAGAACGGCTGGTGTCATGAATGAAAATCCAAGATTAATGTTAGAGCTCTTATTCTTACTGGTAATTTGATCCCAGAGAAGATACTTCAAACTTCTGAGTCTCATTTCCTCCTTTTTGTCAAATAGGAATATTTTAAAAGTTCTTTATTTTTTCTGAAAGTAGAATTGGATATTTGCAAAGCATGTGACACGTACCTGACTATAAGTATTTATGCAATTTATTGATAAACTCGGATAATTTAAATGAGGAAATGGATTTTATTATCCATAGGGTGTTCAGAGGTAAAAAATTAGGCCGGAAGCTGTGGCTCATGCCTGTGATCCCAGCACTTTGGAAGGCCAAGGCGGGTGGATCACCTGAGGTTAGGAGTTGGAGACCAGCCTGACCCACATAGAGAAACCTCTTCTCTACTAAAAAAAAGAAAACAAAAATTAGCCGGGCGTGGTGGCGGGTGCCTATAATCCCAGCTACTTGAGGGACTGAGGTAGGAGAATCGCTTGAGCCCAGGTGGCAGAGGTTGCGGTGAGCTGAGATAGTGCCATTGCACTCCAGCCTGGGTGATAAGATCGAAACTCTGTCTCAAAAAACGAACAACCACCACCAAAAAACAGAAGTTGAAAATCATTTTTCATTTTTTTATTTCAAACAAAATTGAAATCTATCGTTATGAGAACAGTACTTCATTTCAGCAGTGAACCTGGTTTATGATTACAGATTTCTTCCAAGATAAAATTGGTGTATTTCCTCATTTTATTATTATTATTATTATTATTATTATTATTTATTCTTTTTTTTTTTTTTTTGTGAGATGGCGTCTCACTCTATCACCCGGGCTGGAGTCCAGTGGCACAATCTTGGCTCACTGCAAGCTCTGCCTCCCGGGTTCACGCCATTCTCCTGCCTCAGCCTCCTGAGTAGCTGAGACTACAGGCACCCGCTACCACCCCCGGCTAATTTTTTGTATTTTTAGTAGAGACAGTGTTTTGCCGTGTTAGCCAGGATGGTCTCGATTTCCTGACCTCGTGATCTGCCCACTTCGGCCTCCCAAATGCTGGGATTACAGGCGTGAGCCACCGTGCCCGGCCTTATTATTTCTAAATGAATTAATCTAGTCATTGTAAACAGGTTGACATTACTCATTTCACACAATTTACACAATGTAAATACCACTATAGACCATATAAATATCTTCCCTCTCTGATTGCCTCAAATCATTTTAAATCAACTTTTATTAAAGTACAACTTGCTCACAAATAATGGGTGTTTAATTCAAAGAGTTTTCACAGACTAAACCTACTCATATAATCTGCAACTCAATCCAAACTAGAGAAAGTCCCTGTCGTCTACTATTCCTCCCTCTCTCCTTACTCCCTCGTAAGTGTAACCACCATCCTCAATTCTAACACCATAGATGAGTTTCCTCAGTTTTGAACTGATATAAATTGAATCATACAATTAGTACTTTTTTGAGTCTTGCTTCTGTTCACTCAGTATTGTTTGTGAGATCCCTGTGTGTTTTGTGCCCGTAGTTAATTGATTGTTCTTGCTCTGTATCTCAAATCATTTTTAATGACCAGTAAATGGAACATATGTGGAGAATTGAGTCCAAGAATCATTCCACAAAACAGAAAGCCCAAAGGAATTTTAGAACACCTGAAAAAGTCCAGGACCGATATATATTTCAATTTCTACTTTCCAACATCATTCTGAATGAAATGTGTTGTTCTGTTCTCCCACACAATCCAGAGAGCTTCTCTGCTCTTTTTTTTTTTTTTTTTTTTTTCCCCCAGATGGAGTCTTGCTCTATCACCCAGACTGGAGTGCAGTGGCGTGATCTTGGCTCACTTCAAACTCCGCCTCCCGGGTTCAAGCAATTTTCCTGCCTCAGCTTCCCGAGTAGCTGGGATTACAGGCACCTGCCACTGTGCCCGGCTAATTTTTGTATTTTTAGTAGAGATGGGGTTTCACCATGTTGGTCAGGCTGGTCTCAAACTTCTGACCTCGAGATCCACCCGCCTTGGCCTCCCAAAGTGCTGGGATTACAGGCACCTGCCACCATGCCCGGCTAATTTTTGTATTTTTGGTAGAGATGGGGTTTCACCATGTTGGCCAGGCTGGTCTCGAACTCCTGACTTTGAGATCCACCCGCCTTGGCCTCCCAAAGTGCTGGGATTACAGGCACCTGCCACTGTGCCCGGCTAATTTTTGTATTTTTAGTAGAGATGGGGTTTCACCATGTTGGCCAGGCTGGTCTCGAACTCCTGACTTCGAGATCCACCCGCCTTGGCCTCCCAAAGTGCTGGGATTATAGTCATGAGGCACCGGGTCCAGCCTGTGCTATTTCTTTAGAGTCTATTCTTGTTAACAGTCTCAAGCAAGGAAAGCACTCGCATAAGATGAGCCCATAGGTACAACAGAGATGTGGCTAAGACCTCACCTAGTTACTCCCCCAAACTTCCCAACCCTAGTAAATCAAGAATTTTAAGCGATATACTTGGAAATGATTTCATATAATTAGGAATAATTAACTCCTTGGCCATAATAGTGAAATGCCAGTCCTTGTTCTTATTTAACTTGTTCCTTAAAATTTTGAAGTGCAATTAGTTGTTTTGAACTAGGATGAGGTGATGGAGGGAAGCCTTTTTCAAGAAATTGGTTCCAGGGCCGGGAATTTACGTTTACCCTCCTAACACCCACATAACCATGTGTTCTCTCACTGTCTGTGTTTCATTACAAGCCTTATAAATGATCATTACTGAAAAAGACATCTTGAGTCAAATTGCACAGAACATTTGAATACACTTGCCTCCCATAGAAACGTCCTAAGAATCAAATTTTAGTAACACCACTTAACTTTTGTGATATCTGTAAGGTAAATTTGGATTCTAGCAGCAGTTCTTTTATGGTAACATTACCAGATAATGTTATGCCATTGCAATTTAGATTTCATCAGATGCATTCACTTTAGTTCAGATCCAAATGTTTTTTATTTGGGTTTTTCTGTTGTCATATAAATGTTAGCTGGTGCTTCAGCCTTCCTATATTTTCCAGTACAGAAATGTATCCAAATCAGCATTAGGGGTGAGAATAATGTGTAACTCAAGTTAGTATGTATAATCAGTTCATATTCTAAATGATATGATAATGCACCATAAAAATAGCATTTGTTATTTAAAGTATCTGGTACCTGGAGGAAAAATACATAATATAACTAGTAATTAAATATAGGAGGAATCAGCAGTAAAAATTTTATTCAAACGTATTCAGTATGGTTTAAGTTATTTATAATTTTGCATTATGCATCCCCATAGATTTAGAAAGTAATATTTCTACATTTGTATTATTTGACTGTTGAATAAAATTAAATTATAAATATATATCTCAATAATTCACTTGCATATTTTAATTCTCCAGAATAAACAGTGAGTTATATCTCTCAAATCAGGAAGAAATTTTAAAACCGCATTAGACAATCCCAAAAAATAAATACATGAAATAACTATATAATAACAGTTTGTTTGCAAAGTAATCAAATGTAAATAATATATTTATATCTATTCCATAACATCAAATAAATGTGCCGTCACATTTGACTCAATATCTACCTGTGCCCTAAATGAAAATGGTTGCATTCTAAGAGGTGTAATGGAACAGTGTAATGATGGCACTGCAGTCCTGTGAAATTTCCTCAAGATCATAATAATGAACCTGAAGCCCATAAATTTCATTATTGAGAAAATTCTGGAAATTCACTTGATTCATAGTTGGAAATATTATACTGCAATTAAATGCATATATGTTTAAAATTTCCTTGGCCATTTATCAGTGTACGTTTTTTTCAAAATTGTGTTTAATTTTAACACTGTTTTTCACTGTTTATAAATTTAAGTAGAATAGGTTATTCTTTATTTAATTCAATTTAAAATGCAGATAGTAAGGATGTGTGTTGCTTATACAATTTTCAAGACAATGGTACTGAAATCTTTTTTAGGAATATATAAGAAATAATTAGATGGATACATTTAGCTGGAATATTCAGAATATATTTTTGCCCTTATTTAGGTCAACATAAACTTTATGGACATCAAATTTTCTGTCAATTTATGAATTTGAGGACTTCTGATTCTTGTCGCTATTTTCTAGTAGCTAATTTCTTCACTGATCTTAGTTATGTTCTATAACTTTTTTTATCCCTGTGCAGGTTTAGATCAATAACATGAGGAAAAACTTGGAAACGTAAGGAAGGGACCAGTGGGAAAATTGAAGGCTCTATAAAACCTCCTAGCATCCCTGCTCTTGTGTGCTCCAAGACAGCCATCCACCCTTACCTCATTCTTGCCATATGGTCATGTCCACAACTATAATTTCAAAGTTCTCTGTAATATGCCAGTATGAAAAGTATTAGTAATGAATAATCAAATGAATATTAAGTGTCAGACATTTCCTAAGATTGAGCTGTAGGTCACAAAGCTAGTTAGTGGCAGAACTAAGATTTAAGATTTAAACCCAACTTTGTCCCAGGCTGTCTTTGGCTAAGAATGATGGAAATAATTATCGTGAATCATTACATCACTAACAATGTACTCCACCACAAAAAAACACCTCATCTTATTGTATATAAGAGTTTTTGTATGAATAAAGTGAGAGACTTCAGGCATCGTTACTATCTCCTGTAGTTGAGAGACTTGAAACTTTGTTGTATCTTCATCTACCCTACACCCTCCCAAAAAATGGAAAATAAAAAATAAATTTAAAATGCTCTCATATATCATTTTATTTTACCAATGTCATCTGATAATGTCCTAGAATATCCTTTTGATGAGGATTATGAGAGAAAAAATAAAATCTCCAGCTCCTGTCACTGTTTATGTGTATGTGCGTGCCCAGCGTTTAGATAACTGTTTGAAATATTGTGGAAAAGATTCATAAAAGTCTCTACCAGAAGATATGCATGCCGTTTACAATGTTAAACTTCCAGAAAGTAGCCTGTGTCCTATTAAACATTGAATTATGGAAGGCTAGAATTTATGGGACAAAAATTATATAGGAATATGCCAAATTTCACATTAATAAAGTAGAATGAAATGACAGTTATCAAAATAAAGGATAGCATTAGGATCACTTTAGCTCCTGGTTTGATAAAGCGTAGACCTTGGAACAGCCTCATCAGGATCATCTGAATTCTCAAGTCCCACCCCAGGCCTATGGAATCTGAATCTACCTTTCATCAGTTTCCTCATGTGATTTGCATATGAATTAAACACTGAGGAGTTTCAATCTAGAGAATAGTAAAAATCTTAAGTATATTTATATAAGAGACTGACTCATGACTGTGTTTTCCCAGGATATGCTGCATTGATAACAGGGGAAAGAATTGTCTCACTTTTGTCACTAAATATAACCAGATAATTTAATAGAGGCCGAGGATGAGTAGTCTACAGCCGTGATGTCTCAAAGGCAGATAACTGTTTGCAGAGGGGCACCTCTTGAGATTGGGCATCATGAAAGGGGAGGTAAGTAATCATGAAGGCAGGGCCTGGTGCAGTGGCTCACGCCTGTAATTCCAGCACTCTGGGAGGCCGAGGTGGGCAGATCACTTGAGGTCAGGAGTTTGAGACCAGCCTGGCCAACATGGTGAAACCCTGTCTCTACTAATGACACAAAAATATTAGCCAGGCATGGTGGCATACACCTGCAGTCCCAGCCACCTGGGAGGCTGAGGTGGGAGAATCAGAACTGTATGAAACTGGTAGGTGGAGGTTGCAGTGAGCCGAGATCATGCCGTTGCACTCCATCCTGGGCAAGAGAGCGAGACTCCAACTCAAAAAAATAAAATAAAATGAAGGCAGGAAAACTCAACACTAAAATAAGTGGAAATTATGTGCTGGCATGTGGCATTAAAAGCGTTTGATACAGACCAAAGTGGAATTGGGGGTGTCCCTGATAGAATGGTAAACATGAAAGAAAGTAGAATTTTATTTGGCAAACAGGATGGAGAGGTAGTTCTGTTGTGTAACAGCTGAGAAGGTGGTTTTGCTTTAATGTTTTTAGAAGGATTTTGTCTAGATAACATGACAAATCTGCAAAAAATGTAGGATTTATTGATTCATTATAATTTTTCAAATACTACCTGTAAGTTATAATTCTATATATATAGGTATAGATATGACTATGACGTACACATAAATTTAGATCTAAATAGAGGTAATACTTGAATGTTTGTTAGAGCACAGGTTGTCTTTGGTTTGTCACTTCAACTCTGGTACAGGGTTGTAAGCATCTGCAAGTGGATGAATTTCCAAGCATAATTATTACTATAATGTCATCCTCAGGATCAATGTTACAGAAAAGACCTCTAGGTTAAAACAACATATGCTATGTATGTGTCTTTAAAACATGTTTTTAAATGACTAAATGTCTTTGCTTGAGAGTTAATGCTAACACGAAGTATGGGGACAAAAGCACTGTAGTTAAGTTTTGGGCCATTAATAGCTCAAGTCACAGCGATTGATAAGATTTATCTATTCTGCTTACCAGCTATCTGGTAGTACAGTGTGCCATAGTGATTATAATTGCTATTATGTTTGCTCCTGCAAAATTACCAATGATAATAGTGAACTCACACAGAGAACTTACTGGGTTCAGCACTGGGGTAAGAGTTCTCATTTAACCTCACAACCAATACATGGTGTAGATTCTATGATTAGCACCATTTAGTAGAAGAGTTGGACAACTGATAAAGAACATTGTCAAGGCTTCAAGCCAAGGTCTCAGACATAAGGGATTATGATCCTAAAGACAGCATGATGGGGCCTCTAGACTGTATCAGAAGAAAAAGTTTAAAGGAATTCATTGAAAATGAGATAATGGAAAAAAGTAGAAACAGCATGTCTCATAGGCCTGTTCCTTATAACATGATTAACAGCAGGATAGTAGTGTAAATAATATTAGTGCTTATAAATGAACTGTGATTTTTGGTTCTGGCTTGAACTAATGCTAGTTTTTCATAAGCCTTGCTATTGTAGAAAAAGAAGAATCTCCATTTCCCTTTTATTCTATCAACTTTTTTTTTTTTTATCATGACAAGCAACAGAGGTGAAGCCTATGGTCCAGAAGCATTTGATGAGGGAGTGGGGAAGATCTTTCTAATTTACAGGATTTTACAAAAGAATTTGGCATATTCCCAAATTGAAGAACCAAGCATATTAAAACTAAACATTTTCCCATAAACTATGAAACTTTTCATTGTGATGGATTCTCATTATGTCCCAGCATGCAAATATTTCTTTTGTACTGTGCAAATAGCAATAGTCTTAAAATTTATGCATATATAATGAATGGAACTACTACAGTAGCAGGTCACTCCCCTGCAAAGTGACTAAAAGTGATGCATATTCTGTAAGGAGATATATTTAAATTTTCTGTCAAGTGAAATGTCTCTGGTGTTTTGTTCTTCAATATAATGGGATTCATTTTTGCAGAATTCTTACAGGTACACAAGTGTAGCTATAGCAACACGAGGCTGAGCACTTTGTTTCCTAAAGCACACGTCTCCGTGTAACTAGGCAGAGCCATATTTCTTGAGGTATGTTGCCCTATGCATCTGAAATAAGGAACCAGTTTTCAGTCTCAATTTCACTCTCCTTAAATTAGAATATAACTATCATTTTAATGTGGAAAATTTGTCAAATTACCATAGTGCTGCGAAAGAATCTTCTATATTTGGCTGTCTCTTCCTCTATTTTTTTAATACTAAGTGAGCATATACTTGGATCTGTAAATAACTGAGTACATAAAGTCGCTGAACACTAGGGCAGAGCACTGCTGAATCCCAAGTGCTAAGAGCTTGTTTTCTTGTCATTTGACATCTTCGTTCAAATGTAAAACATTTTTCACAACCAAAATTTCAAAACAAATTATGTAATAAATTGTCTTTGTTTACTGAAAAATATAAGCAAAAGAAAGCCAGCTGAATTGTGGAATGTATAGCGTTAAGGAAGAAGAAAGTTATGAGATAGTGTAGAACAGTCACCATGCCAGGTAGCCCATTTTTATTCTGTTTCTGCCAGAAACCACTTAGCTTCTTAGAAATGAAGAACCTGGTGCAGAGTGGCTCATGCCTATAATCCCAACATTTTGGGGGGTCAAAGTGGGCAGATTGCTTGAGCCCAGAAGTTTGAGACCAGCCTGGCCAACATGGCAAAACCCTGTCTCTGGCCAACATGGCAAAACCCTGTCTCTATCAAAAAACAAACAAACAAACAAAAAATTGCCTGGCACGGTGGCACGCACCTGTAGTCTCAGCTACTTGGAAGACTGAGGTAGGGGAATCATCTGAGCATGGGACGTCAAGGCTGCATGAAGAGCTGTGGCTGCACCACCAAACTCCAGCCTGGGTGACAGAGTGAGACCCTATCAAAAAAAAAAAAAAAAAAAGAAAGAAAGAAAGAAAAGAAAAGAAATGAAGATTCATGATTTGAGCATGTAGAGATGGGAATGGAACAGGTGACACTAATTTATTCTTTGCCTTCTTTGCAACTTTGGTACTTTAGACGGTAGCTGATTTTCAAGAGTGATGTGGGATTTCAAGAGTTATAGAGGATTTTGCAATTAACTATTAGGTAGACATAGACCTTTATTATATGTTTTATTTTTCGATGCTCCAGAGGCTCTATATCTCTGTGTCTGCAAACTAAATGCATATGAGCACATACTTCTGGCCTCTGATAGTTTGCATGGACCCTCTTGTTTGACAGTGTAAAACTCTGAATCTCCTGCATTCAGGCTGTTACTGCTGATGAGTCTTGTCTAGTTTCTTTTTTTTTTTTTCCTGAAATCACTTTTATTAAAAAGAATGCCATATAAAACATGTGTAATTGAATTATGTCAGCTTTCAAATTTACTATTTTTCAAACTTTAACTTAAAGCAAAAAAAAAGAGATAAATGTTAATATTCAATTAGCTTATGTTTTTGAATTTCTACTTTTATTTTAGATTCAGGGGGTTAATGTGCACGTTTGTTACATGGTTATATTTTGTGATGCTGAGGTTTGGAGTTTCTCTTATTCTAAAAAAATGGGACCTTTAAATTTAAAATGCCAGCAGCAACTATCAATGCAATTATGATCTATAGAAAGAAGTTGGAAGATAAATTATACATTTAAAGCAGAACGTATAAAAACACAGATCTGAATTGAAACTACTTGTCTGTTAATCTTTGTTTATTGATTGCATGCATTTGGCCTTATTTGTTTAATAAGTCTTTTCTCATTATAAAGTCAAAGTGTGCTCTAGTCAAAATTTTGAAAATGTAGAAGTGCATAAAAATATTACTCATAAACTTACCCATTAAAACTAGATAATAATGATGCCAACATGTTATTTTAAGATAACAATTCTAAAACATGTCTTACCTTGTACAATCTGTTAAAAAAAAACTACTTCATAGTTTAAATCAAGAACTCTGTCATATTCACAATGCCCCTTTTGAAAATCTTACTAAACATATTCTTATATTCTTATATTATACTTACATTTAAAAATATTTTACCACTTTTCATTCTAGATATTTAAACATTTAAGATGTGTCAAAGGCAAAATAACAGCAAATTTAGTTTAAATATCTAATGGTTTTCAGAGGTTCTAGAATCAGGCAACACATCATTTTATAAAATAAAATAAATGTTCAGATGAGCTGAGCCGAGGAAATTGGTTTCATAGGCAGGAAAGGTCTGAAGAAGGCAGAAATGGTGAATAAAAAGCAGATGAATCATTTCAAAGTGACTTCTCTTATGGGGTTAAAATCAGAGAGGACTTCCTTATTATGCTAACAAAGTTCAACTGGACTTTCCTGTTTTTTTTGGAAAACTGGGCAGTTTCAAAATTCAATTTGAGTAGGTGGCACTTAGCATATGTGACTCCATTCTAGTTTGATCTGGTCTGCTGGGGCCTAGGGCAGGAGGCTGGTCCAAAACAATGGCCTCCCATAAACTTTCTTTAACAGGTGCTAAAACTCATTTGTATCATTTTGTATTGTATACTATATAATGTTACACTTATTTTTATAATAAATGCAAGAGAATAGTTTTCTCCCTTCTATTTGATTCCATTTGTTTTTTACCCCACTCATAAGCTTCTCTTGGGAAAGAACCAATTTGACGCCAATGCCCAAACACCTCTGAGTCCACAAAGAAACAGAGAGTACAACCTTCTTTGGCTAGGTTTGAATTATTAAAGAAGAGGTTTAAAAATATTTCTTGCGTCTCTCTGTGATATACTGGAAGCCTTCTGCTTCTCTCCATCTTCATAAAAGCTACTATTCAAACTGCTTCTCTTAAATTCACCTAAAGAGGTATACCTTCACTGTGAGAATGAGTATTAGTCTTCCAAAGTTTGTTTAGCTACTATTATTATTTCCATTGATTTTACACAAAGATAAAGAAAATAGCTAGAGTTGGCAAGGAGATTAAATGTATAAATATATACAAAAAAAGAAAATTCTGACTGCTTTGTTAATATGTACAAAAAGAAAATTCTGACTGTTGGAAAATTCTGACTGCTTTGAAAATATATACAAAAAAAGAAAATTCTGACTGCTTTGAAAATTCTGACTGCTTTAATAGACCGTATAAGATTAAAACCTACATATAGCCTCTTCAGATTTTACAGTATTTCTTTCTGATGGATAATTTTAAGGTTTAATGTATATAATCACGTGCTACACCATTACAAGGTAAATATCAGAATTTATTATTGCCAGGTAGATATGAAACTGAGACTCACATCTAAATTCAACCAAAGATACTTGTTTCTCAGTGTGTTTGTGCCAAATCAAATATAGTGACATTATCCACAGATGTATAAAGAAGAGACGGTTTTCTCTGCAGCCCACAAATGTGTGGTGAAGCTCCCTCTCCTTTAGAGGGCGCAAGTTGGCTGCCAGCTCCCTGCTGCCTAGTCAGTGACGATTTCCTGTTTCCAGTGACTAGAATCCTGCCTGCCTGGAGTTAGAAATGACCAGCACGGTAGGAGGATGGAAGATCTATAATATTAAACTTCTATGTGTTTTTTCTACCTACGCCTTGCTTTTATATCCAACTGGGATTTCTGGCCCCAAGTTTCACTTATTTATCCACGAAAGGCAATATCAAGCAGAGACTGGGTTTATGCTACTGAAACTTAACATTTCATACAGGTAATTTATGAAAGTATATCAACCCTGGAAGAGGATTTTTGAACTTCAGAATTCCCTAATAATTTTGCTGCTGAAAGAAATTTGCTCTTGGCTTTCAGAGTTTAGAGAATATAGTTGCAGATATCAATTTAATTCGGTATTTGAGTGCCTACTACATGCAAAACATTTTGCTAGATTTCTTGAAGGATGCATGAAATAAGCTTATATTCATTATATGGTCATTACTTTAAACTAATAACTAATTTTTTTTTAGCATTTGCTCTCCCAGGCGTTGTACTTATATTCAACGTTTCATTTAATAAATTCTCATAATAATATTTTGTGATAGACATCTTTACTATTCCTAAGTATAAAAAGGAGACAAAAAGGCTAAATAACTTGCCAGATATCATAGCTTATTATATTAAAGGTGTTCAGTAAGGTGTATGTAGATATTAAAATCATCCTGCCTTCAAGGTTTTAGCGATCAAGTAGGAAAGACAAGAATAAAGAGAAAAAAATAAAGTATAGGTACAGCAAATGCCATAAGAAATGAGAAAAATGCTATGGAAACACTGATATGGGGGCAGTTAACTTGGTCTGAAAAACAAGAGGCTGAGGAAAGTTCTAGAGAAAGAAAGCAATCTTTCAAGCCTGACTTTGACGTATGAATAGAACTTCCATAGCTAAGACAGTTATGGCTGGGCAGAGTGGCTCACTCCTGTAATCCCAGCACTTTGGGAGTCCGTGGCAGGTGGATCACTTGAGGTCAGGTGCTTGAGACCAGTCTGGCCAACATAGTGAAACCCCTTCTCTACCAAAAAACACAAAAATTAGCCGGGCATGGTGGCGCATGCCTGTAGTCCCAGCTGCTCGGGGGGCTGAGGTGGGAGGATTGCTTGAGCCCATTGAGGTGGGAGGTTGCAGTGAGCCAAGATTGTGCCACTGCACTCCAGCCTGGGCAACAGAGTGAGACTCTGTCTCAAAAAAAAAAAAAAAAAAAAAAAAAAAAAGACAAAGTCAGGAAGGAAAGAAAGGGCAAAGCCGAAAGACATTGCAAACTATGAGAATAGCAGGAACAAAGAGGTTGGGAAGTACAAATTATACATGGCCCCTACCTGAATAGTTCAGTAGGCAGGTATGGATCTGCAGAGGAGGATGAGGCTATACAAATATTTTTGTTGAATGGTTTTGGATGCACTGAATGCCAAGTCAAAGCATAAGCGATGACTTTTAGAACGGCTCTTTTGTTATTCAGTTGTGTGTGTCTCAATAACCACAGTAAACATTATCAAAACTAACACATGACAGGGTACTTACTTTTCAGAAACCTTTTTCCACTATTTTAGGGAATTCTCTGCTAAAGAAAAGAAATCATAGGCAGGTAAGTGAGAGAGAGTTCTTAGGACTTCAATGGAGTGGTAGCTTCTGGAATAGGAGTGAGGCATTCCTGATACTCCAAAAGTTAGGAAACTCAGGACAATTATGTATGACGTTAAATTGTTTTCCGTTTTGAATTTACACTCCAAAATTTTAGACTGGAAAACTCATTTGTTTCTCACAGATATTGCTTCCTCCATTTTCATCCTGTTGTCCATAGCTAAAACTATGGCCCTATGCTTAGGATTAGAGAAGAATCCTTATCTTTCAAACTGCTTTTTAAAATTAAACAAATGAAATATTGATTCTTCATTTCACAGATATATTATTCAAACAAAATTCAAAGCTAATATTAGGATATAGATTACTTGTAAATAATCAATACCTATTCAACATTATTTGACACTAAAGATTGATAAATATTTGTAAATATCAAGCTTTTCAGAACCTTGAAACATGGCCTAAATTGCAGTTGATCTTGCCATTATCCTTTAAGTGATCTTCATCATTTATTTTATAATCATTTTTATTGCTTTGTTTTATATTTCCTGAAGGAGAATTAAAGTTGTTATTTCAAAACAAGGAAGAAGTTATTTATAGTGCTTTATTTGCTACACATGAAAATATTTAATCTAAATATAATATTTAAGGCTAAAATGTTGGATTTGAGTTCTTGAGTTTTTAAGCTATGTTCTTATCATTATCAACTGAAGGTTGTATACATGAGCAATATATTAAAAATATTTTGTCAATATATTTCTATAGTTAGAAATATATATTGATCATAGATGCTCTTGGATTTGCAATAGGATTACATGCAGATAAACACATTATAAGTTGAAAATAGCATAAATCAAAAGTACATTTCAGCAACCTCATTGTAACCAAGGAGGATACTGAATGCATATAGCTTCCACATTGTCAAAAAGTCAAAAAAAAAACAAAGAACCATAAGTCAAACCATTGTAAGTTAAGGACCCTCTTTATAAATTTTTCTTTTGATAACTGAGAATAGAGTAAAATACCATGAGTTTATTATTTGCTTATAAGATTTTAAATATTTTAATCTTGGATTTGTATTACATTTGAACTCCTGCAGATATGCTGGTGATAATATAATTTTTTTAAAAAACTCTTATTGTAAAGAAACCTCATTAGTAGTTTAGGCGTTTTTGACATCCTGTAGGTGGCCATTTTCCACATTCTATTTTCCTCAGGAAAATAAATTATGAATCATTTAGTAAATTGAAATTACAAGGAAATGGGAAGCTAATACAGGAAAATAACCAGATGTAGATTTAGGACCTTTCTTGGATGTGCTCAAGAAGAGTGACCTTAGACAATTATTTGAAAGACTGCTTCCTGCTCATCTTTTACTCGCAGGTCTTACTCCTGTCAAAGAACAAAATTTCAACAAATTGAGTTTTTAAAGATCTAATTAGCTTTTATTAGTGATTCATGAACTGAGCAGCATCCAGTCTATAAAGTACACAGGAGCTCCTCTGCATCTGATAGAAAAGTCAGTTTGTGTAAGGCAGCTGGAGCAGGAACAAGGGAACAGCCTAGTGCACAAAGTGGACTGGTCAGTATCAGGTTACTTCACGTTACTTTCCTTGCATGGGTTACAGCACAGGAAGCCCTTACCATAGCAGCTCAGGCTGACTGGACCCCTTCAGATTGGTTGCTGTGAGTCTCCTGGCTTTTTTTTTTTTCCATGAAACCAGCCTACATGGAAATCTGACTTTCACCTCTCCCCTGATTTCTTAGAAGGTCACATCTTACAAGTAAACAGCTTGGTTTTGGTTTGGTGACATGGGACCTTAACCTGAGTGACTCCATTTTGGGTTGGTCTGTTAGGGTGTAGTACAGAAGCACAGTCCAAATCAATGGCTTCCCATAGATTTTATTAACACTTGTTCACTCAGTATTTATCATACACTGTTGTTGCATTTCTTGTGGTTCCCTGGAAGACTTGATAGATGAATTTGTACTCCATTTTGCCTTTTTCCTCCTCAGAGTACTTTGTACACACTTCTGTTAGAATGTGCATCCCTAACACTTGCTGTATTTAATTTTAATTGGTAAATATCTGTCGCTCCCATCAGTCTGTGTGGCCCCCCGGAGAGTTGCAGCTGTCATACATTAATTTCTGTATTGTCATGTATCTATTTTTTATTTACCACCCTCCATGGAGGGAGGTAGAAGTTGTAGGCAAGTTTGACTTAAAATATCAAACAAAATGTAACATGAAAGGAATCGTGAAGTTTAGGTTGGTTAATGTCAGATCAACAATATTGGGTGTACAAATGAAGATATTTGAGAAAAATAGCAAAATTCCAGTCTCACATTAGCAGGGAGAAACATTTTTGAATGTGTTTTAAATGTCACCATGTAGGTGACTAGGCTAGGAACTAGACCTGCTGCCATGTTATTCAAATATTGGAAGGTAACTGCTCCTGAGATACTACTTGATTTTACTTAAATCACCTGTCTGAGCATAGCGACTGAGTAGGTAGGATTTGATGGATTGGTTTATTACGGTTAAATTGAGCATGGAACAATCTAAACTGATCATTAAAAAGACAAAATCCAGAGCCATCATGCTGTGGCTGTTTGAATTAGGTGTTATATCCATGGCCAAAACAGGAGGAGGAGAAAAAAGTATAGATTTAAAAAAAAACATTTCAGAGCAACATTTTCAACATATCATTGTTAGAAAACACTACATGAAGACATTTTCAATGACCAGATAAAAACCAAGTGTGGCAACTGACAGCATACATTATCCTTTAAAACATTTCCGACTACATTACGTTTCCTTTTCATTTTGTGTTTGTCATAAATCTGCTGTTGGGGAATTTTTTTAAAGTTGTTTCTGAGTTTATGTTAAGCATTTCTTGTTATGTGGTATGCTTTGCTGTATACCCTTCACTTAGGAATTTTTCTACTTTTAGCCATATATCTCTTCCTATAAACCATACTGATGTGATTTTCGTTTTAGATTTGCAGCTCATACTTTCCTTCTAGGCGATGTATTTTGCTAAATGTAGCTCAGCTTTCATTGCTTGAACTAAACTATGACTAACACTTTTTCTTTTCCTTTTTTACTTAAGCGAGATTAAATAGATAATATTTATCTATGTGTGAGGTCTCAATTTTCTATGTAGTATTGTGAGTTTTAGGAGAACCTGAGGGAATTAAGCTTTGGAAACAGTCCTTTATGATCTTTTGTGATCCTATACATATTGATAAAAGGAGAGTTAGGAATTGTATGTATCAGTCCTCTTTATTCCTCTTTCAAAATTAGAATAATCTTATTGCTTTATTACCAGAGCCCTATTGTTTTAACTTTAAAACATAGGAAAGGCATAGTGTAAGAAAAAAATAAAATTAAAAGCAATTGATACACGACCTCAACATCTAGGACTAAACACTACTTACATTTTGGTGAATACTCTTATGGTATTTTGTTTGTGTATGAATAAAAGTTTTTTCTGGCTTCTTTTGGTGGTGGTTCTTAGGTTATTCTGTATATTTAGATTTTAATCTACTCTTTTGGTTTAATCTGTATTTACCTATTTTCAATAGCTACATAATATTGCCTTATAATATGAATATACCATAACATATTTAACCAATTTTCTGCTGTTTAACTTTTAAGTTGCTTTCCATTTTTCTGTATTGTCATCAATACTTTGATAATGAACAATCATCTTGTTAAATTTTGAACAATGCCATGAATGTTTCTCAGAATTTACTATTTTTAGAACTGAAATTGCCCAGTAGAAGAAAGGATTTTCTCTACACATTCAAATACAGAATCCATTTCTTTTTAAATTTGTCTTATAAGCCTGACAATAAGGCTTTTGGCTTTTGTCTTTTATGTCTTATACGGCTGACAATAAGGAAACTACTTCTTAAGATCTTTTGAAAAATATTTCACAATACAACATGATACTGCACTTTAATAGGCCGCTTTCACCTGTTGGTATATTCTAGGCATTCACATAACATCAGATAAATAAACGTGGGAAATCAACATAAAGAGAAGTTCTTTTTAATTTTCTTTTTTTGGAAATAGCCATAAAATACTAATATAAATGTTACTTATTTATGTACTTATTAAGACTGACAGCCTAGGTACCAAGCTAATTACGGTCTGTAGTCACAGGACATGTTTTATGCATTTCTTCTGCATTTGAAAAGCTGCAAAACAGGTTTTGCACCTTAGTGAACAGAAGCTCAGTATCCTCCCAGCTCCTCTGTTTTGGAGGACACAGAATTGTTTTCACATGGTGGCTGTAAATGAACAGTTCTTTCCAGTGTTGTAGTATGCTGTGCCCAAGAAAATCTCAGTGATCCCATTGTTTAATATCTCTAAGTAAAAGCTACTCAGAATTAGATAAACGGGATGTACAAGTGACAAAGTGGGATAATTTGCTTACTATTTTGCTGTGGGAACAAATACATTTGTTGTCTAAATATAGTTATGTCTAATGTATCCAAATAAATTAAAATTATGAAATGAAGTGTTCATTAGAAAGTGCAATAAACTGTTGCCTTTTCTTGCTCAACGTTATGATGGCCAGAAGGCCTAATTAAGTCTGGTAGTGGTGGCCTCACAGGCAGGATTGTCTTAGAGAGGATAAACCTCATTAAAGAAAAAGCTAAGACTCCTTAGCTTTTAAACTGCTACTCAGACCTAATTCCTCTTAGATAAGGCCATATTTATGATAAAGAGTAAAAATGTTTACCTTATACTCATATTTAATTAGTCTAATGGTTTTTATATCAATGCTGTTTATTTCTTATATTTTTAGGCAGAGAAATGGCCATAGAGCCTTATTCTTTATTACCTTGAATTGTTTTCACTTATGATAAAAGAAGTTCCTCTCCTGCTAACGCCCTTAGTGATTGCATTTATTAAACAGTCGTTGGCAGAGAACTTAAGGATGTGCAAAATATTTACGTAAAATATAACCTCTACATTCTATTAATCTATATACTTATTATCTTCTTAAAAATGATTCAAATAGGTTCCCTGCAGCCCCATTATTATGATCGTTTCTCTTTAACATAACCATTTTTTTCTCCAGCAAGTTTTTTTTAATTAATAAGTGTGTGCTTTCTAATAAACTCGACTTTCTTGCATAGCTGGTAGGTAAGCATCAACAGGCCACCTCTTTGCCAGTACAGCACCCATTTTCCCAATGAGCAGTGTTTTCCATCTGGTCATGGGTCTCAAAAGTTAATGCCCAGAGGCAGGGCACAGTGGCTCTCGCCTGTAATCCCACCACTTTGGGAGGCTGAGGTGGGCTGATCATTTGAGCCCAGGAGTTCCAGACTATCCTGGGCAACATGGCGAAACCCCATCTCTACAAAAAATATGAAAATTCAACTGAGCATGATGGCACGCACCTGTAGTCCCTGCTACTCAGGAGAATGAGGTGGGAGGCTGGCTTGAGCCCAGGAGTTTGTGGCTGCAGTGAGCCGAGATCACGCCATTGCACTCCAGCCTGGGCAACAGAGCCAGACCCGGTCTCAGAAAACAAAAACAAAAACAAAAACAAAACAAAAAAAAACTTAATTCCCAGAGACAAAGCAGGGGGATCATACAAATAAGCAAGGTGAACCTGGGCCTCACAATAATGCAGGGTAGTCAGTGTGGAATGGTTCCCTAGAAAGGCTTTCCATGCCAATTTCTTAAACTTAGTGCAGCCCAGGTACACACATGTTCAAGCTGGGTCTCAGTAGCAATTCTCGTTTGCAAGACTTTGCTCTACTTCCTTCCTGATTCCCAGATTACACTTACCTAGGCGTACTGATGTATCTTGATGTCTTTTAATTCCTTGGAACGTCCTGAGGGCTGTCCATATGCATACCTAGCATTTCCAAATCTGACCACATGGCGGTGAAAATATCCTCATATTATTTTCGTAATCCCGGCACTTTGGGAGGCCGAGGCGGGTGGATCACTTGTTTGTGACCAGCCTGGCCAACAAAGTGAAATCCCGTCTCTACCAAAAATACAAAAATTAGCCAGGTGTGGTGGCTCACGCCTGTAATCCCAGCTACTCCGGAGGCCGAGGCAGGAGAATTGCTGGAACCCCAGAGGCAGAGGTTGCAGTGAGCTGAGATGTCGCCACTACACTCCAGCCTCAGTGACAGAGTGAGACTCCTTCTAAAAAAATAACAATAATTAAAAAAAATTCATTTATTCTCTGAGTTACTTCTTTGTGACTCTCAGCATACTTTTATTTCCACAAACTTCAAAAGGTTGCACAGCATCTTTAATATAATTATAAAACCTTTCACTATTACATGAGAAGTACTTTTTAAAGTTGTATTCATTCTTTGTGAACTTCTGAATTTTAGTGTACATTTGGCATTCTCAGTTTTATGAGAATCCTGTTAGCTTTGCTGAGGCAAAACCATGCTGCTTATGTCCTTTTTCTACTAAACCACATTATCTTCCTTTACTCTGGTAGTTGACCATGCAAAATATAGTTCTAATTCCCTGTATATTTAATCCAGAATTTATCTTCTTTTCTTGGTTGTTTCCCCTAAAACATTTTTCTTCTTTTTTTTTTTGTGGTTTGTGTTTTTCGAGATAGAGTCTCGTTCTGTTGCCCAGCCTGTAGTGTAGTGGAACGATCTCAGCTCACTTCAACCTCCACCTCCCGGGTTCAAGCGATTCTCTTGCCTCAGCCTCCCCAGTAGCTGGGACTACAGGTGCACGCCAACACACTTGGCTAATTTTTGTATTTTTATTAGAGATGGAGTTTCACCATTGTTGGCCAGGCTGGTCTTGAACTCCTGACCTCAAGTAATCCACCCACCTTGGCCTCCCAGCATGCTAGCATTACAGGAGTGAGCCACAATGCCTGGTCTCTTCTCCCATTTTTGTATACCCAACATCCACCTAACAAATGCCTGAATTTTCTCCTAGTTCTACATTGATACGCAGCAGATCTTGAAGAACTTAAGACAATTTATGAACAAAAAGGTTAGCAGATCCTGCTAGAGATGGTTTATTTATAATGTGAGCTTATGCTGTATTTACTGCAGGATTCAGATGTACACCTATTTCTGGAAGACAACTCTTTATCTACACCCCCACCATGCTCTCAGACTCAGCCCTGGACTCTTTTATTCTCATGATTTTTTTTGTGTGAAATAAATGCTGGTTTGTGAGCAAGAGAAACACAGAGAGACTTGGAAGGGCAAGTTCTGCCGATGATATGGTGACTATTGCTCAGCTCAACCACCAGCTCATCCCATTTCTCAGGAAAGAGTGAACTGCAAGGAAAAATGAAAGAACAAACATGGAAGAGTTCATTTCACTGATGCACTGTGAGACCTTTGGGGTAATATTTCTTTGGTGCTCATCCCATAATAAAACATGAAGAGAAGAGCATCATTTACCTGATGAAGTGTGGCATGGCTTCCATAGACTGAGGGCTCCAGAAAATCCAATCTGACATAATCACATGATGGTGCTGCCCTGTTATTGCAGCTTTAGGTGGGTGAGAGGCAGTATTGCAAGGGAAATTTTGGGAACCTCCCATAAAGGAATCCTTAGTTCCCTCAGACTACCAGGACAAATTGACACAAATTTGTCAGCTTAAAATAACAGACATGTATTCTCCCACAGTTCTTGAGAACAAAGACTACACTTAAGGTTTCATGCGGATTAATTATTTCTTGGGGGCTCAGAGAGAGAATCTATGCTTCTCTTCCAGCTTCTAGTGTTCTCCAGCAATTCTTGGCAGTTCCTTAGTTTGTGGATAAAGCACTCCAGGCTCTGCCTCCATTTCCACATGGCTTTCTGTTGTGTGTGTCTCTGTGTCTGTCTCTGCTTCCTCTTCTTATAATAACAACACACATTGGATCAGGGGCCTCTAGTCCAGTATGACGTCAACTTGATTACATCTGCAAAGACCCTGTTTCCAAATAAAGTCACATTCACATGTGCCAGGCGTTAGGGCTTCAATGTATCTTTTTCAAGGAATCCCATTCTTAAGCCGCGATGTTGATTGTATCTTTCACTGTTTAGAAAGCAGTAGAGTCCACTGCGGCAAACATCCTCTGGGGACAAATGGTAAATGCCATGTAGCAACTGGAAAAAAAAAAAAAGGAAAGAAAATCTTCCCTTCTCTCTCTTTTTGTTTCCAAACTTGAATCTCTAAGGAAGATTCTGATTAAGATTTTTGGGAGCTGATATATTATGTTGAGCCATATAAAACTGCTGTTTTGTGAAGCTAAAAAGTTTACATATAGACAGTTTCTTGTTATTCAACCTAACAGCAAGTAAACTAAGAGGCAGAAAATTATTACATATTTAGAACGTGACCATTTTTATGACCCCAGATTGACATTCTTACATTGCAAAAAATAGAGGATTGAGTGACATGAGGTAAATGACTGCTTTTTAACCTGAAAAACAAGTTTAAATATAGTCCATGATGGAACTTCCCCATATATGACATTTTAAAGATTTATAGACAAAATTAAGTCATGTATATTTGATAGCTGTTTCAAAACTGATTCTATTAGACAACACACTTTTGCCTCTCTGAGTTAGGCCTGATGTGAATAGATGCATTTTTGACAGTATATTTTTTTTCTCTAAAATGACCAAGAGTAAAAGCAAGGTGAGTTGAAAGGATTTAAAATCCTATATAAGACTGTGAATTAACTTCAAACCTCTTTAGTGATAAGCTACATATCATTCTATTTATTTACCCTTAGGATTTGCATAGTGATTTTTTTTCCTCTCAACATTTATCTAAATTGAGTAGCATCAAATTTATTTCTGATCGCTTTTCCAATTTTTGAAAGTAATTTATATTCAAATACTATTTTATAGGGGACTGGCTAGCCCAAACACTGTCCCTCTGATTTGCATTGATATTGTTTTGGAATTTGTAATGTCATCTTATAGACTTGACTTGATTTGATTGAATTAATTTACTCCTAGATCTCACTACACTGCTGTTTCTAGCAGCTTAAAATGTATCACCAAAAATATTTTCATATACTAACTTAGGTTATATGGGAGGATTCACTCATGAAATAGTCAACGTAGCCAAAACCTGTTTTTGAAAAATATTCCTTTGATGTCGTTACTTTGTTTTATCAGTTTAGTGAACAAACCTTTATGCAAAAATCACTGAAAAGCAATTGACAAGATGGTAACTGAGCAAAATATGGGTTACGGTGATATTCAGATTTGATTCTTGATTTTGATTGTGCATACTTTTGACAGTTGTTTAAAACTTCCTAAGAAGATGGGACCTAGAAAACAAAAGTAAAACAAACAATAGAGACATGGTAGAAAAAGTCAGGACTGAAATTCTGCAACTATGAGAATATGTCATCCTATATATTAAATAAGCATAGAGTTCAAACATATTTTGAGCAAAAAAATTGCCTTACGTTTCTACTAAAAATTGAAACTACCAATTATCTGTTAACATTTAGGTGTTTCAAGAAAAAGCAAAACAAACTGAAATGTTTTGTTGAGAGTGTTCAGTGATAACCCGCTGCTTACTCTGTGCATTTAAATAAATTTATATTTTATTGCTCCTTCAGTTGCACATTCCAGCAGCTTGACTTTGAAGTGTGTTACCAGGAGCAAGGATTTTCATTAGGAAGTGCCTGGAGGCGACATAGACTGATAGTCATAAATAAGAGAAGCTGTGTGATTCTGACCTCAGCAGACCACTGTGGACAAACGTATCTTTAGCCACAGTTATTTTTTCTTTTCATCTGTTGCTGGTCTCTATGCATATTTTTAGTAAAATGATTGAGTAGGGGCAGAACTGTTTTTCTGATTGACAAGTTAGACAATATCCAAAGCTGAAGTTCATTTAAGGGGCTGTCTGTGCATCTCTTTTGAAAAATTAGGCAGTGGACTTAGGACTTTTTTTCTCAGAGTTTGTATCCTTAGGTTAGATTGCAGAGTAAATGACAAGCTTTGCTTATGTGCTATGTCTTTATAGCAGTATCTACAAAATCATTTAAATGTGCATGTAACAGGGACATTAATTTCCCCAGTGAGAAATTACAAATCACTAGGACCATTTAATTAGATCCTTGGTTTTGAAATAGTATCTGTTGCAACACTGAGGGGAATTTCTATAAAAATTATTTGATGGAATTTTCAAAATACCATATGCAAAAGGCAGATTAAACGGGGGAAATAGAGATGAAATAATGTAACTTTCACTTTCTAGGGAAAAAGCCATCATCACACTTCTCAGTTTGATAGCAATAAGAGGTAATACCTTTGTGATATGAAAATACCTACATTAACAATACTGAAAACGAGATTGACTAGTAAGTTGTTACTCCAGAGGAAACAACCTGTTATTACCAGAATTGAAGTGCTTCAGAGGGCTGTCTGGCACTTGAGACTTTAGATAAACCTGATAAAAAGCTAAGGAGCTGCTAGAAATTAATGGTGTCCTACTATGGTCAATGGATTTTCATGAAGAGTTTTCTCTCTGATCATGTGAAAATGTTTTCTACAATTGTTACTCAATTAAAATGCAAATTCTTTTATAAGCTATACGCATGAAAGGCATCTTTTCATAACTAAATAAGACTACTTTTGGTAGTCTTATTATACACACACATGTCTTTGTATTTATGATGTGAATTCGAATAGTTAACATTTTAATTTATTTATTATTTTAATTTATTTCCCACTGGTTGTTGAACAACTTATAGAATTAAATTATGCTTCACTGCTTACATTCTGAAATAGATATTTTGGAAGGAAAGATGGTTTTAATCAAGAAAAAAAATCCTCTCTCTTTTTTTTTTTTAAGCTTCGTAGTGCCTAGAGTACTGCTGAAGCAGAATATCTCTATAATAACATCCTTGTTGAGTGGCAACTTGGCTTAGATGGGAACCATGGATCCACCCTTCCCTGTTGAGTGAACTTAGACAATTCACTTAACTTCTCTGAGGTCTAGCTTTACTCTTAGAAAATGAAGATATCAATAATAAACTACTTCAAAGGGTTTTGTGAGATTTGAGTGAGTTTTGTAGGTAATGCATTTAGCCTAGTACACAAAAGACATTCGATACGTGTTGTTTTATGTTTATGTAAGGCAAGTTATGACATGGTCACAGTTGTTTGGCATCTAGGAACTAGATTGTGGAGATACTGAAGATAATTGGCTGTCCAGCTATACAGTTAACACTTATTAATCGGAAGAATGACGGTGACTCAGTGGAAATTAATTCATCCTCCCGTCTCACTAAATTATCGCTGTCATTTTCTTACATATATTTGCAAAATAAATTAAATGATTTTAGGAGCAAAAGGGTGGTTTAGTGTGCAATGCAAAGTTTTAATATTTTGTATAAAATTCCAAAAAAAATGCCTGACAATAAAGGCCACTGAATAGCATAAAGGAAACTTGTAGAGGAAGCTAATATTTTCTCTGTGAGTGTTGGTTATTCGAATACATTCTTTACAACATTTGTGGAAAGTCTTTTCCTGAGTATTTTCTGCCTTTACAGTTTGTCTCTGAAATCCAAATTATCTTTCAGATATTTATTTCATCCTTTACATAATTTTAACACTTTCCCAACTTTTCTCCTCTATATAAAATTTTCATATGATTTTCCCAATGGTTGTCAAATCTACATCATATTTTCCTCTAGGCTTTTTTCTTCGGTGTTTTCTTCTTTCCCTCTTTTTCTGAACCTAGCTAAGACCTTCTTTCTCTTCCAGCAGTAATTATTCCAAGCCTTCTTTCTCTTCCAGCCTTCTTTCCAAGCCTTCTTTCTCTTCCAGCAGTAATTCCAAGCCTTCTTTCTCTTCTAGCAGTAATTATTCTCTGTACCATACATTTGGTCACCTCATATAATCTTTTAGAAGATCTCCCTGAATATCATCTTATACTATTCCTTTTTGCTGATCTTTACATGCATCTTTACATCACACATACTGCCTGACACATTTCTGTACATGTAATAAGAGGGCAGCATTTAATGTGTTAAATAGCCTATTCTAAGGCATTGAAGGTATGTGATCGAGGAGAGTTGGAGGTAATAAGAAGATCGATTATTTTTTTCTTAGTGTAATAATTGATTCTACATTTTGAAAAAGGAAAGATATATATTTTATTTTGTTTTCATAAATAGGTCAGAATTAAATCCAGTAATGTCTCTAGTTAACATCATGAAAATCTTTGAGTTTTTTTTTAGGTATCAGAAAATATATTTGTTATTGACATGTACTTATTGAGGAGGATAAAAAAGATGATAAATTTCCCCTTTGTTTACATTTACAGTTTTACTCTGCTTCACTATGCCTTTTTATATTCATTAAGAAGACAGTGGCAATGCCATCTGGTTGGAAAACTGAGAACAGTTTTTCTAAGTTGTTGATTTTAGAGATGAAGAATATCAATGCCACCTTTTGAAAATAAAGGTTTGAAATGTATATAATTGCTAATAGTGGAATAGTAAAATAAAAGTCAGGAAATTTGATATATGTGGCCTAGATTTTATTACTTATCTTTGAAACATGCAATTCTCAAGGGGAAGACTAATTTCTTAAATTTGTGATTGGATCAGAAGGCTTTTGTCAGAGGTACTGTACTCAAACATTCAAACTCATACCATTAGTTTGCTGATGCCATTGGAACAAAAAACACCTGCTGCTCCTTGTCAATTTTCTTCTATTTACACTTTATCTTATTGAACTAAATGTATTTCTATAAAGTACTTCCAGTCCTTTTGGAAATTATGAAGCATAAATGAGTAGACAGGCAGAAACAGAAATAGGAGAAAATAAATGGAGGAGAGGCAGACATAGTCAGATAGAAATGTGAATTCCTGCTGCATTTCATAAGATTTATTAGACAAGGTTGTTCGAGAGTTGGTATTCACTATTGTAGTCTACCCAGTAGCTATGATACTTGAAGCTGTTGACATATCTTCTATTTGTAGTTTTTTAAACATACCATATCATCATCCAAGACCCTTTAAAAATATTAATGCAAACAGCAAACTAGCAATGCCAAAGGCATATACCCTGTTGCAAAATGTCGTTGATTATACGTTTGAGTAGTATTGATAATAGTAGGACAACCTAGGAGCTGTTTTACTGCTCTTAAATCCTACTTTGATAGAGGCTGTCACTACTATAACATATTCAGATACTTTCGCTCCAATTTTCTTCTGTCAGTTCTTCCTTCTTATGAATTTATACACACACACACGCACACACACACACACACACACACACACACACACACGAGAGCAGCTGATTATTCCCCAAAGAGACCGAAAATATACTTAAAATTGAAGATAGGCCCATTTTTTGTCAATAGCAAAAATGTTATTAGAAACAAGTTCTATCTACTATTACGTTAGTAATTACCATATTAATAAGCCCATGAGAATATATAAAATTAAAGCCTAATATTTTACATTGCCAATCCTTATAATCTCCACAGTAAAATTATGTATATTTTTAGTTCTTTAAGCAATAAATTCCTATAGGCCTGGCCTAGAAGATTAGATAGATAGAATAGATTGATATGTGGATAAATACACATGCACACACTTCTATACATAAATGTCTTCAAACCTGTAAATATATAAAATTTTAAGGGTCTATCTTATCATCCCTATTTCCTTATTGCATCTATTGTGGAAAATGTAGGTTTTCATATTAAATACTAGTTGCCTTCTGAATATTCTTTTGATAAAATATAATTCTCAAAGCATTGTTTTTAAGTTAAAATTATGAAAAGAGTATAGCTTATTAGAGAGAAAAGATGAAGAGTATAGCTAAGAATGAAAGAAGGCTGGGAGGCTTTGTTTATTTATTTGTGCTTTATTTTTATGGGAATAAACAGTGAAAGGGATGCTGTAACATAAGGTCCTAATGTCTTAATTACACATAACTATCGTCATGACTTTTCTTCACGGAGTTGCCAACCATGTAACTGGTTGGAGGGCCATCAGATAGCACCGGATTTCAGCAGAAATTTTAGTACTATCTGGGCTAAATTTATTTCTATTCCCTTTGTTTCACTGCTAGGGTACAAATCTAATTGCTCTAATCACCCTCTGATAGAAAATGTTCAATTGGTCTTCATTGACAATAGAAAGAACTCTGAATTTGTCAATATGCCTCACATGCCCGTGAAGATCTAGTTCACGTTGATGTCTGAGTTATGTTTCTTGACTATCCCCTGTCTACTGTGTATTCTGGTCAAGCTAATATACTTTTATTTCCACCTAACAAATGTATCTTTCTCTCATCTCCATCACTCCCCCCACCTCTCTCTCTGTCTCTCTCTCCCCACTTTAGATATTTGCATATGCTATTTCCTCAGTGAGAGTTGATTTCACTTCCACTAACAAGGGTTTTCTTCAACTGGCCATTAGTTGCTCATCATTCAGGTATCAATTTAGTTGTTCCGTCCTCCAGAAAGCCTCATTTCCAGAACAGTCTCATTCTTCCACATTATATTCTGTAATGGTGGAATTGTGAGAGTCCTGATCTGAATTCCCTATAAGCCTCCAAATTAATGAGTGTATTTGGATAACTCTTTAATTCCCAGTCCCTAGCAGATTGCATTAATAGTAGGGCATATGTAGTAAATATTTGTTGAATAAACAAAACCCGCCAGCTCCTTGGAAAAATGCAGAAGTATATACTTAAGCCACTAAGCAAATTTAGGTAGTATTCATTTAGTCAGTTAACCAATGGTTCTTTCAATAAGTATTTTTGGAATAATTTTACTGTTTCTGCCACACAGTCAGTTGTTTGTAAGGGTTTGACCACCTTTGGTTAATGAAAAGGGAGAACAGCAGGCTACTATGCATAGGAACATAGTTTTAGGTTGCTTAGAAGTATTAGGGACATTATATGTTTTATGTAATAGAAAAGAAAATGTTTTAGGTCATGATTACAAAGTATTAATAAATACTGTTAAATATTACATGAAATATATATATAATATAAACCTTAAACATATTAATTTAACCCTTTGTTATTTTTCACCTTTAAAGCAATAATTCACTCATCTACTACTCTCCAAAGGTTAATGTATTCATATTTATAAAGGGAAAATAATCACTTATGTTGTTCAGTGTGAAACTTGATCTTCTATTTAATGTTCAAAATCCTCAAATGCAGAATGAAATACCGGTGTGCATTTTATGGAATTTGATATTTCAAGGAAATGAGTGGACTCTAGAGCATTCATTTGCTCTAATTACTGTAAGAGATCTTTGTCTTTGTTTAATCGTCCAACTTTAGAAATTCATGGAAATACACTATAAAAAGCAAAATAGCAAGAGGAAAAATAGTGTAATAGGAATGGGCTCTGACTAGAATTGTGGTTTTTGGAATAATACATTAGGTTTGTAATCAATTATGGATGAAATGTCTGATCCATATTTTTCCACATCATCGACTAGCACAGCATCTCTCATGCCAAAATTGATTATGGAAGTAGCACCTCTTCTGTCATAACTGTCTGGACCAGGAAGAGTATGATATCTGCAGAACAGCAATTAGCATCAGAAATAAGTCATTCTGAGGCTGTTTTCCAGAGTTCATCTAGAAAAAAATAATAATCCTCCCATCGACTCTGGATATGGGTGTGTGTATGTGTGTGTGTGCACATGCACACACAACCACACACAAGCAAACTGATATTTATTTGTGCTCTGTTGAATTGAAAACCTGACATTTTCTGCTTGTGTAGAAAGCAGAACAAATCAGTCTAGTTAATCCCTGTAAATAAGAATGTGGCATCCCAGTGAAATGGGAAAACATGCAGTTTGGGAGTATTTTTCAAGGTTAACAATCTCTATTAGCATTTATGGATTTATTAGCTGATTGCCTATTTAATGCAAGCCTACTACGGTGTTTTCATTGTTCCTCTTTAAATATCACATAGTTATACTTTCAAATTTTACTTCAATTGTGTGGGGTTTTTTTTGAAGAATAAATATATATTTGGTCAAACAAAGCATCCAAAAAGAATGAATCTTTCCAGAACTAATTTGATATTACTAGAGCTAAGAAGATAAATAAAATATCTAGAATATTTCTAAAATGTAAGTTACATTTATAAAATAATATTGATAATATAATTTCATTGAGTTTATAAATGAATCAAAGAAAAAATTATAATTCATGTAATCTGAACTATTTAGCAATCATAAGTCTGTGGAAGCATGTATCATTTGCGCATGCCAAATTTCTAAAAAGTAGGAGGATTTATTCCTGTTGATTCTTAGATTTACACAAAAAAGTCACAAAGTTCAAGAAAACTATTCTTTTCCGTGGGTTTAATACATATAATTAAATCTTTCACACTCATTCTTTCTTCTGACAAGAGCTAGATACATTTGTTACAGTTTATAATGATAAAGGTGAATGATGAAAACAGATATTGAAGAAATTGACACAGACCAAAAAAAAAAAAAAAACAAAAAAACTCCAAATGCATTTGCAGCTTCTTAACCTGCAGAATATTTAACTTCCATTAGACAAAAGCACTGTTCTCTAAGAACCTACAATTGGAAGAGGGCAGATAAGAGACAAAACCTCTTATCCTCTTATTGCTACCTACGTCATCAGTGTGTTCTAGGAGTCGCACAGGCCACTGGGATGGGGCTTCTGAAGCAGGAGAGGTCCCTTCTGGTTAGGTCAGGGAAAAGTCTATGACAGGAGTGGTTCCTCATATGCCATGCTTTATAATGATAATGGTTCCTACAGTTTCTGCATTCTACCTGCTGCATCAGCCTTCCTTGGAATAGCTCCAGCAATTGGTGCCTCTAATAAATGTCCTGTCTTATTGTTCAGGGGCTACCACTACTATCATGTGAACACCAATTAAAAAACATTTGTTTGGGATTCCCAGGCAAGATGGCCAAATAGGAACAGCTCTGGTCTGCAGTTCCCAGCAAGACCAATGCAGAAGGTGGGTAACTTCTGCATTTCCAACTGAGGTACCCGGCTCATCTCATTGGGATTGTTTAGACAGTGGGTGCAGCCCACAGAGGGCAAGCAGAAGCAGGGTAGGGTGTTGCCTCACCCGGGAAGTGCAAGGGGTTGGGGAACTCTCTCCCCTAGCCAAGGGAAGCTGCGAGTGAGGAACAGTGCAATCCAGCCCAGATACAATGCTTTTCCCACTGTCTTCGCAACCTGCAAACCAGGAGATTCCCTTGAGTGCCTATACCACCAGGGCCTCAGGTTTTAAGCACAAAACTGGGCAGCCGTTTGGGCAGACACCGAGCTAGCTGCAGGCGTTTTTCTTTGTTGTTGTTGTTGTTGTTGTTTTCCGAACCCCAGTGGTGCCTGGAACACCAGCAAGACAGAACCGTTCATTTCCCGGGAAAGGGGGCTGCAGTCAGGGAGCCAAGTGGTCTTGCTCAATGGAGCCCACCCCCATGGAGACCAGCAAGCTAAAAATCCACTGGCTTGAAATTCTCGCTTCCAGCACAGCAGCCTGAAGTGGACCTGGGAAGCTCCAGCTTGGTGAGGGGAGGAGCATCCAGCATTACTGAGCCTTGAGTAGGCAGTTTTCCCCCCACAGTGTAAACAAAGCCGCTGGGAAGTTTGAACTGGGAAGAGCCCACCTCAGCAAAGCCACTGTAGCCAGACTACCTCTCTAGATTCCTCCTCTCTGGTCAGGGACTTACAGATAAAACTCCCATCTCCTTGGGACAGAGCACTTGGGGGTAGGGGTGGCTGTGGGCTCAGCTTCAGCAGACTTAAATATTCCTGCCTGATGGCTCTGAAGAGAGCAACAGATCTCCCAACACAGTGCTCGAGCTCTGCTAAGGGACAGATTGCCTCCTCAAGTGGGTCCCTGATCCCCGTGCCTCCTGACTGGGAGACACATCCCTGCAGGGGTCGGCAGACATCTCATACAGAAGAGCTCCAGCTGGCATCTGGCAGCTGCCCCTCTAGGACAAAACTTCCAGAGGAAGGAGCAGGCAGCAATCTTTGCTGTTCTACAGCCTCTGCTGGTGATACACAGGCAAACAGGGTCTGGAGTGTACCTCCAGCAAACTCCAGCAGACCTGCAGCAGAAGGGCCTGACTGTCAGAAGGAAAACTAGCAAATAGAAAGCAATAGCATCAGCATTAACAAAATGACAACCACGCAAAAACCCCATCCAAAGGTCACCAACGTTAAAGACCAAAGGTAGATAAATCCACAAAGATTAGGAAATGCCAGTGTAAAAATGCTGAAAATTTCAAAACCAGAATGCCTCTTCTCCTCCAAAGGATCACAACTCCTCACCAGCAAGGGAACAAAACTGGACAGAGAATGAGTTTGATGAATTGACAGAAGTAGGCTTCAGCAGGTGGGTAATAACAAGCCCCCCTGAGTTAAAGGAGCATGTTCAAATCCAATGCAAGGAAGCTAAGAACCTTGATAAAAGGTTACAGGAACTGCTAACTAGAGTAACCAGTTTAGAGAAGAACATAAATGACCTGATGGAGCTGAAACACAGCATGAGAACTTTGTGAGGCATAAACAAGTATCAATAGCTGAATCGATCAAGCAGAAGAAAGGATATTACAGATTGAAGATCAACTTAATGAAATAAAGCATGAAGACAAGATTAGAGAAAAAAGAATGAAAAGGAATGAACAAAGTCTCCAAGAAATATAGGACTATGTGAAAAGAACAAACCTACGATTGATTGGTGTACCTGAAAGTGATAGGGAGAATGGAACCAAGCTGGAAAATACACTTCACGATACTATCCAGAAGAACTTCCCCAACCTAGCAAGACAGGCCAACATTCAAATTCAGGAAATTCAGAGAACACCACAAAGATACTCCTCGAGAAGAGCAATCCCAAGACACATAATCGTCAGATTCACCAAGGTTGAAATGAGGGAAAAAATGTTAAGGGCATCCAGAGAGAAAGGTTGGGTTACCCACAAAGGGAAGCCCATCAGACTAACAGTGGATGTCTCTGCAGAAACCTTACAAGCCAGAAGAGAGTGGGGGCCAACATTCAACATTCTTAAAGGAAAAAATTTCAACCCAGAATTTCATATCCAGCCAAACTAAGCTTCAGAAGTGAAAGAGAAATAAAATCCTTTACAGACAAGCAAATGCTGAGGCATTTTGTCACCACCAAATGTCAAAGAACTCCTGAAGGAAGCACTAAGTATGCAAAGGAAAGGAAAAACCAGTACTAGCCACTGTAAAAACATACCAAAATGTAAAGACTATTGATACTAAGAAGAAACTGCATCAACTAATGGGCAAAATAACCAGCTAGCATCATAATGACAGGATCAAATTCACACATAACAATACTAAACTTAAATGTAAATGGGCTAAAAGCCCCAATTAGAAGACACAGACTGGTGAATTGGATAAAGAGTCAAGACCCATCAGTGTGCTGTGTTCAGGAGACCCATCTCACATGCAAAGACAAACATAGGCTCAAAATAAAAGGATGGAGGAAGATTTACCAAGCAAATGGAAAGTACAAAAAAAAAAGCAGGAGTTGCAGTCCTAGTCTCTGCTAAAAGAGATTTTAAACCAACAAAGATCAAAAGAGTCAAAGAAAGGCATTACATAATGGTCAAGGGATCAATGCAACAAGAAGAGCTAACTGTCCTAAATATGTAAGAACCCAATACAGGAGCACCCAAATTCATAAAGCAAGTTCTTAGAGACATACAAAGAGACTTAGACTCCAACACAATGATAGTGGGAGACTTTAACACCCCACTGTCAATATTAGACAGATCAACGAGACAGAAAATTAACAAGGATATTCAGGACTGGAAATCAGCTCTGAACCAAGTGGAACTAACAGACATCTACAGAACTTTCCACCCCAAATAAACAGAATATACATTCTTCTCAGCACCACATAGCACTTATTCTAAAATTGACCACGTAATTGGAAGTAAAATACTCCTCAGCAAATGCAAAACAATGGAAATCATAACAAACAGTCTCTCAGACCACAGTGCAATCTAATTAGAACTCAGGATTAAGAAATTCACTGAAAACCACACAACTACATGGAAACAGAACAACCTGCTCCTTAATTACTACTGGGTAAATAACAAAATTAAGGAAGAAATAAATAAGTTCTTTGAAACCAATGAGAACAAAGACACATGTACCAGAATCTCTGGGTCACAGCTAAAGGAGTGTTTAGAGGGAAATTTATAGCACTAAATATCCACAGGAGAAAGTGGGAAAGATCTAAAATCAACACCCTAACATCACAATTAAAAGAACTAGAGAAGCAAGAGCAAACAAATTCAAAAGCTAGCAGAAGACAATAAATAACTAAGATCAGAGCAGAACTGAAGGAGATAGAGACATGAAAACCTTTCAAAAAATTAATGAATCTAGGAGCTGGTTTTTTTTTAAACATTAACAAATTACATAGACCACTGGCCAGGCTAATAAAGAAGAAAAGAGAGAAGAATCAAATAGACACAAGAGAAATGATAAAGGGGATATCTCCACTGATACCACAGAAATACAAATTACCATCAGAGAATACTATAAACACCTCCTCACAAATAAACTAGAAAATCTGGAAGAAATGGATACATTCCTGGACACATATACTCTCCCAAGACTAAACCAGGAAGAAGTCGAATCCCTGAATACACCAATACCAAGTTCTGAAATTGAGGCAGTGATTAATAGCCTACCAGCCAAAAATGCCCAGGACCAGTTGGATTCACAGCCAGATTCTACCAGAAGTGCAAAGAGGAGCTGGTACCATTCCTTCTAAAACTATTCCAAACAATAGAAAAAGAGGGACTCCTCCCTAAGTCATTTTATGAGGCCGGCATCATCCTGTTACCAATACCTGGCAGAGACACAACAAAAAAAGAAAATTTCAGGCCAATGTCCCTGATGAACATCAGTGCGAAAATCCTCATTAAAATACTGGCAAACCGAATCCAGCAGCACATTAAAAAGCTTATCCACCATGATCAAGTCGGCTTCATCTCTGGGATGCAAGGCTGGTTCAACACACGCAAATCAATAAACGTAATCCATCACATAAAAAGAACCAATGACAAAACCCGCATGATTATATCAATAGATGCAGAAAAGGCCTTCAATAAAATTCAACACCTCTTCATGCTAAAAACACTCAATAAACTAGTTATTGATGGAATGTATCCACTTTGGGAGGCTGAGGCGGGTGGATCATGAAGTCAGGAGTTCAAGACCAGCCTGGCCAACATAGTGAAAACCCATCTCTACTAAAAATACAAAAAATTAGCTGGGCGTGGTGGCAGGTGCCTGTAACCCCAGCTACTCAGGAGGCCGAGGAAGGAGAATCACTTGAACCCAGGAGGCGGAGGTTGCAGTGAACCAAGATTGCTCCATTGCACTCCAGCCCAGGTGACAGTGTGAGACTCCATCTCAAAAAAATAAATAAATAAAAAATAAATAAATCATTCTACTACAAAGACACATGCACACGTATGTTTATTGCAGCACTATTCACAATAGCAAAGGCTTGGAACCCACCCAAATGCCCATCCATGATGGATAATCACTGGATAAAGAAAATGTGGGACATACACTCCATGGAGTACTATGCAGCCATAAAAAACAAAGAGTTCATGTCTTTTGCAGGGACATGGGTGAAGCTGGAAACCATCATTCTCAGCAAGGTAACACAGGAACAGAAAACCAAACACTGCATGTTATCATTCATAAGCGGGAGCTGAACAATGAGAGAGGGGAATATCATACACCAGGGCCTGTCGGGTGGTGGGGGCCTGGGAGAGGGATAGCATTAGGAGAAATACCTAATGTATATGATGGTTTTATGGGTGCGGCAAACCACCATGGCACATGTATACCTATGTAACAAACCTGCATGTTCGGCACATGCATCCCAAAACTTAAAGTATATTAAAAAAACAGAAAACCTTTGTTGATTTTTATGTTCAGTTCAGGATCTAGCATACTAACATGCAGCCAATATTTTTATTTTATTTGTTTGTTTAAATCTTTAACAATATGTGCTTTGCTTAATTATCTTTGTTACCACAAGATTTATATCTGTCCTACCTGTGCTTCAACATAATTAAGGCAGTGGCTGAAAGTAACAAGCAGTGCTTAACAATTGCTAATTTGTATATTGCATTTAAAAATACAACCTTTCACCAAGATTTTATGGATAAAAAAATTCACATGTGACCATACTAATTTCTTAAAGTCAACAAAGACAAATAATTAAAAAACACTATGACAGGCTTTCCCAAAATTCAAAGGAGACTTTAAAGACAGTCTGTTTCCCAGCTGTTTTCATGACGTGATATGCTAAGTGGCTCTAATCACAGATATAATTAATAGGCATTTGTTATTTTAATCATGAAATTAAAATAATATTTTGTTTATCATTTACCTATTAACATTTAGCTCTCTTTGATGGCATGGATCATCATGCAGAAATGTTTTAGGTATAGAGTAAATGTAAACATGGGTCTGAAGAGTCAAGATCCAAATTATCCACTTTTGGTTTAGTTGGCCACATAGTTGTATCAGTTTTTTATTGCTGCTGTGACCTACTACCACAAACATAACGGCTTAAAACAAACCACATTTATTATCTCATAGTTCTGAGTTCACAGTCCAAAATGGGTCAGTGAGCTTACTTTTGGGGGCCCTGAAAGAGAACCTGTTCCTTGCCTTTTCCAGCTTCTAGAATCTGCCCGTATCCTTTGGCTGGTGGGCCTCCATCTCTTCTGTCTCTGCTTCCATCTTCATATCTTCTTTTCTGACTCTTAACCCCCTGCTTGCCTCTTATAAAGACTTGTGATTACACCATTCCTGTCCAGAAAATCCAAGATAATATCCCCATCTGAAGATCCGTAATCTAATTAGACCTGCAAAATTCCTTCTGCCATATTGGGTAACATGTTCTCAGGTTCCATAGATGAGAATGTGGACATTTTTGAAAGGCCATTATTCAGCCTACCCCAGTTGATGCCTTTTAGGTTCATGGGTTTATTCAGGAAAGGGAATTCTCCCAGGTGAAGTTCGCTCAGATGTCTCTTTTGTTAACACTTGCCCTGTGAGCTCTTCTTAGATGAGAGACATCAGTAAAAGGGATAAAAATGGAACCAATACTGCCTATCTGGAAAATTCATAACCATCTGGGCATTTATTTTTAATTTGAATAGAAGGATAAATTCCACTCCTGTTAGATCTTTATTTAGTCATATTTGCTGTCACATTATAAATTTCTTGTGTAACAAATAGCCAAATTACCTGAAGGCAATTTTTTTAAAGCCTGGGCTGAAAGAAATGAGTCAGAAACTCTTTATTTTGCTGTTTCTTTCCTGAGGTTGTCATAAGTTGTTATGAATATAAATTAATATACAGTTTCTATAATCAATTTGATAAGGAATACATAGAATAAAAGTATTAGCAATATCTCTTGTAAACCTAAAGTTCTTCTTTTGCTTAAAATATGTTTTTTTGCCAATGTCAGTAGATCTCTTCATGACTTATATTTGATTTAGTGAAATTTATGTACATGCAAGTTAAGCTGTTTATTGATCATTTGAGTTTCTGTTTCCTTTCTGTGTGTCTTTGTTTTTACATGACAACTTTCATTAGTATTGGGAATCATTAAGTCTTTTTAATAGACTGTTGTAAAAAGGCCTCTTCTTACAAGAAGTTTTTTTCTGTATTTTATCTCCATGCTGTACGATTAAAATAAATAAATTTAAAGAAATAAATATTTCACCTGTCTTTTAACTTCAAGAATACAAATAGGAAATATCCTTCTGTTTGCTCTGGTGAGAACTATAGGAATATTATATTAATATTTCAAATTATGCAGTAGGTCCTCGAATAATACTGTTCAGTGCCATTTATTATGATGTTGATGAGAAAAGAAAAAACAATCACTTCTAGGCTGGGCCCCTTGTGTGGAGTCCACATGTTGTCTCCACATCCGCGTAGGTTTTCTCCCAATTCCTTCCACCTCCCAAAGATGTGCTTGTTAGGCTCACTGCCATGTGTACATGGTCGCTGGGAGTGTGGGTGAGGGTGGGTGAAGGTGAGTGTGAGTTGCCCTGTGATGGGGGGGTGCCCCTACAGGAAAGATCCCACCTGGGGTCCTAAGCTGGTGTGAAGGGCTGTGGCCACCCTCAACCCTGAACTGGAATAAGCAGGTAAATACTTATCTTGTTTTGACTAATCCTTCTTAAATATATATAGAGAGAGCACACATTTATTTCATTGTTTAATATTAGAAGTACCTTGGTCTCTAGTTAGAAGTTTGGTGATGTCTTTGTGACCAAAAATATGCCCTAAGAACTTCATTTATATCAATTAGCCTATAAGAACATCGGTTTCATTAAACATTGTTTGGCTTAAAGTTGCAGTTTCCAAGGATCTATTGATGATGTTAAGTGAGGAGTTACTGTATAATTTTCTTACTTTTTATTGATTTATTTTTATTTTTGGTAGAGACAGGGTCTCCCTATGTTACCCAGGCTATTCTCAAACTCCTGGTCTCAGGCAATCATCTCACCTTGGCCTCCCAAATTGCTTGGATTACAGGCGTGAGCCACTGCACCTGCCTTATGATATTGATAAGGTTTGGCTGTGTCTCCACCCAAATCTCATCTTGAATTGTAGTTCCCATAATCCCCAAGTATCATGGGAGGAACCAGGTGGAGATAATTGAATTATGGGGTTGCTTTCCCCCATTCTGTTCTTGTGATAGTGAGTTCCGCCATGTGAAGAAGAATGTGTTTGCTTCCCTTTCTGGCATGATTGTAAGTTTTCCAAGGCCTCCCCAGCGCTGTGGAACTGTGAGTCAATTAAACCTCTTTCCTTTATAAATTACCCAGTCTTGGCTATGTCCTTATATACAGATATAAAATAAAATACTTTTCAAAAAAGCCACATTTTTCTAAGCTAAGGTTAAATTAACATTGCATACGTTGAAAGTGCATATTTCATTTAATGACTATTATCATTAAATGTTCAACATTTCCCTCAAATCTTGAAACTGTAAAAGACACATTTGGGAGTGGTCATGTGACCTGATTATCTTGTGCTAGAAATATAGAAATAGCATTTTCAAATAAAAAGGATGCATTTTCTCAAATACCTTGTATTTGCCTTAATCAAAATGTGAAATGTGCTCCTTGATCCTTTTAAATTGTTTCTATGACATTTGCCACAGTAGTCATTAAATTAGATAGTAATAGGCGAATGTGTATTGGGATCCTTTCCATTTTGCAGAAATAAAGAAAGTCTGTTGGCTACTTTTCTGCTTTATGAGCCTCTGCAGGAACAAATGTGCTCATAAAATGTACATTAAGAGTTCTTCAATTATATTCCTATTTCCTTCAGCACCCTTGCCTCTTAATAAGCTTTTTCAGGAGTTTCTGGTCTATATTCATTTAATTTCTTCAACATTCCTCATAAGCTTTCATCATGATTTAAATGAAATCCTTTTACAAGGTGCTATAGAATTATAACTCAGTGCATTCACTAAGTATAATTCTGTTCAGGAGCTTACTTCTCCACACTGGAAGAAAAATTGCTTTGCGTTTCACATCTGACTTTTCTTTTCACTTTTTAAGAAAACAATGAATTGAAGATGCATGCACACACAGAGACACACATGCAAATATAGATTTTAATCATGACATTTTCATACATTCTCAAGATTACCTAGTCTAACCTTCTCATTTTATATATTACAATCAAGTAAGCTGTTCATGTACCTTTAGCTACATGAGGGCAGGTATAGCACTAGAAGTCTGATCTCTTTACTCTCAGTTAAGTGCATTTTCTGGTATACTGTGCTGTCTTTTTGACAAAGTATACAGTGTACAATATAAAAGTTATAGGCTGAAAGCACATGAGGAACATTGGCTGGAGGCCGCATTACCTTTTTCTCATAAAGAACTTGACACTTCATCAAGTTCCCACTTGAATTGTCATTGTGGCCTGTCACTTGCCTGACACATGGGCAGCATATGCTTCCTACAGTATGAAGCCAGGCAGAATGATATTTTTAATCATTTGTATTTGTGTGTATGTATATATATGTTTATATGTGTGTGTATATATATATATACACACATAATGTATAATTGTATTTATCATTAGTACTCAATGCACAAGTAATGGATTCTATATTAAATACATATGAAATTGATTGACTATATTCCCATTTCTTGTCTTTGTTGTTCATTTTTCAATGCTTGCTCACTTCTCTGTCTTAGAGGCATTGTCATTTCAAGATCTGAATTTGTTCCTCGGACCTGTCTTCTTCCAGTATTAATGCTTTTTCACTAGTTTTTTTGTTTTCTTCTTTTTAACCTTTTACTTCCTTGAGAGATTTTATTCTTTAATTTTCTTTTTGTATATTTTTGTTTGAGTTTTACAATAATCTCCCTAGCTTGATTTTAGCATGTATGAACTTTAGGTTGGAGTTCAAATGTTTTAGTTTTTCTAGTAGTGGTAAAAAAAAAAAGTGCTTTTAAAAATTAAATGTTTACTCAGTCATTAGTAAAAAAAAAATAGGACTAATAAAATAGCACGAGGTTGATGGTGCAGCATAATATTTGAAATCACACATGAGGGGATATTTAAATCTCAGGTCTGCCACATATTTGCAAGCAGTGTGATTTTGACAAAGTGACTTAACTGCTTGTAATTTTGATTTATCCTCTATACAATGGAGACAATATCTAACTTACGAATGTATTATAAGAATTAATGAGACAATCTTTATACATAGCTTAACAAAGATTCTGGAACACATGATGTTCTAATTGCAGAATGACTATTGTTATTCATTAAATTATTCTAAAAAGCAAGACTTTCTGAGGATTCAGATATTGTTCAACATATTTAAAGGACCAAGTAAAGGTTTAAAAAAAATTTAATCTGTTTTTTTCTCTTAAAACCTTCAAATTTCTCTATTTTCAGAAGACGTCAACATTTTCTCTAAATAAATAAATAACTTTGTTTTCGACTTGTCTTCATCTACTTAATTTTCACGTTTTGCTAGTGCTCAAAGACTCTTCATAGATTGTAAAGAGATGCTAAATTTGTATTAATATTTGTGAGATGTGTAAGAGGTACAATCTTTTGTAAGATCTTCAAAAAATTACAACCAATCATTCCTCTAAGACTTTCTATCTCTCATATCCTGATTTTGAAATTGTCAGAGCACTATCATCTGAATATGTTATTGATATATGTGTGAATCTGTTTTGTATTCATCTTTCCCCAAAATTCAAGTTACATGATGGCAGGAATGTTATAGGTTTTATTCGCCATTATATCTCCAGTGCCTGGGACTATGCCTGGGCCACTGTAGTTCTATATATATTCAATATACATATATATTGAATAAATATATATATATATAAAATAAATAAATGAATTCAAATTGGCCGTTTTGAGCATTAGATAATCCTCTACAGACATCTTACAGACTGGTTTACAGGCATTAATCTCTCTGAAATGATTTAGATAAAACAGAGTTTCTCAATTTAAAACAATTCTTAAGATTTTATTTTCAATACATGCTAGTCATTCACTTGTATATCTTCCAGGAATTAAAATTATGATGGTGGTTAAATATCTGTTTTGTTATAAATATGTTTAAAAGAGTTTCTGCAGACCATTAAATCAATTTTTAAAATTACTGATAGATATTCTATCAAAACAAGAGTTGAGAAAAAGAAATTGTTTGGTCTTTTATCATAATAAAGTAAATAGCTAAGAACTGTCTCAGATTTCATGTGTACCTAGTAGTTTAATTAAGGCGCATGGACAACTTCATTTTTAAAATATAGTCAAAAATACTTCAGCTCTATGATTACTAAATAGTATGCTATGTCACTTCTCATTTTTTAAGGTACAGCATTGTTAGAGAATTTTTACAAAAACAGCCATCAATAATGATGAATTTAGATACATCCCAAATGAGTTAATTAAAATGACAGCAGAATTTCACTTAATGATCTTGCTGCAAATATTCATTCTGAACTTGAACATGTTACTTTTTAAAATGCCCAGTGCTCAACACAGCAGAAATTAAACTGAAAAAATTAATGCTTTAAACATGTTAAAAGGGGTAACTGCCATCTGCTCTCATTAGGGGTGTTAATATACATTAAATGCATCATATTATAAAATAGCAACAGCTGGCTATACAGGCCTTTTTTTAAATGTACTTTTATGTATTTATTTATTTATTCATGTATCTATTTTGAGATGGAGTCTCGCTCTGTGGCCCAGGCTGGAGTGCAGTGGTGCAATCTCGGCTCACTGCAACCTGTGCCTCCTGGGTTCAAGTGATTCTCCTGCCTCAGCCTCCCAAGTAGCTGGAATTACAGTCACCCACCACCACACCCCGCTAATGGTCGTATTCTTAGTAGAGATGAGGTTTCACATGTTGGTCAGGCTGGTCTCAAACTCCTGACTTCAGGTGATCCATCCACTTCGGCCACCCAAAGTGCTGGGATTACAGGCGTGAGCCACCATGCCCGGCTGAATGTACTTTTAAAATAGAGATTAACTGGACAAAATGGTTTACATGTAACAGTTGTTGGAATTAAATTGTACAATGATAAATGTGCTGAAGCTAATGAACTGGGAACAAATTTCCAAACTTATTTATAATTATTTTATACTTTTCATGTATATAATTATTCACTTGGCTTCACATCAAGTCATAAATAGATTAACCTAAAATATACTTTTAAAACAAAAATTCTTGACAACAAAATGTTTAGGGGAGATATACTAAATTTGAGTTATGAAACATAGAGTGTACATTTCAGATATTCTCAATTTTTACATTCATCAAAGGTACTTTTGTTGGAGTTTATGTTTTTGTAATGCATAACAGGTTATTATGAAAGAATGTGAGAATATCACTAAAAATGTGTTTTCTACATGTAATTTTTTATACCAATATGTGATCCAGGGTTATTTTATAATTTAATACTAAATATGATACAGTATAAGATTCTTTAATGACCTTGTTAAAGCTAACTAAAAATTGAACATTATTTTCAAATGAAAACATTATTTAATCATTTAAAATATTAAATCTGCTGACATATTTATAACCATTTTCATTGAAAAAGAGATTTATTTTCCTTTCATGTCATTCTCATTAACTTGTATAAGACATGCTTATATAACTTAACTCAAATGTAACAAGATTCTCAGGCTTTCACAAATGCAATTTACAGAAGAGCAAAAGATAAGCCAGTGCTCAATATCATACTGAAAGGAATCATCATTGATAACTGTACTTCTTCCTCTTTCTGCGTAGCTTTTTGTCTTTTTTCTCCCTAACGTACTTGTGGAGGATGAGTAATTTGAAATGAATTCTGTTCTAACAATTATACCTACTGCTGTACTCTCATCTTCCTGACAAACTAGCGTCAGGCTGAATAGAGTGAAAAACTTGCACAGAACGAAAACTCTCTTATCAGGGGAATGTTTGGATAGGACCTCTTTGCTGCTATTAGCTGGGCAGTAATCTGGTGAGATGGGGGAGGAGAGAATAAAGCTATCTAGTGCTACAGCATATATACATTCTGTACAGATCTGTCATTTGCATAAAAATGCTGATAAAAAAGGCAAAATACACGCAATGCTTAGCAGAGAAACAGACAATAAATGGTAACCGTTACTGTTCTTTCATTAATGTTTCTAATACAATCATTGCTATTTTTAATGTGAATCTCGCCTTAACTACTGAAATTACCTCCTTTCTCCCCCAGTGAACTATCCTAGCTGTCCTTTGCCAGATGAAGACTTGGAAATTAGAAACTATACAGAGTGTCATCTATAGTAATGGGTGGAACTCTGATAGATTCCTCTTGTTCCTTTGCTTGATAAATTTCATTCTTCCCCATTCACTCAACATTTATTGATAGACACTGTTCTAGATGACATGGATGGATACCAATATATAAAGGAAATAATTCCAGTCTGAAATAAGCTTTGAGTCCAATACATACAATATTAATAACAACCATGGAATAGGTTAAGGACTTTTGCATTTGCTATGTACATGGCAGTGTGGGAAATCAGAGGAAGGAGTGCTTTACTGCTTGGGAAGACCAGCAAAGTCCATCTGGACTCTTGAGCATGCAACAGAGGTTCAGCATTTGGATACAGGGAGAAGACATTCTTAGCTCAGTAAGCAGCAAAAGTAAATACAGGATAAGAAAGAGTGTGGCATATTTAGGGCATCCAGTGACTAAAGCAGTCAGTAAAGAAAAGTGTTCTCTTTTCTCTTTCCCTTCTTTTAAATATTTCAGTAAGCCTTTTGTTCTTATTTTCTGCCTATGCAATTGGTCTGTAACTAATCCTGCTGGTATTGCTTGGAAACAGGTAACCTTCACATGTTGCATGCTGGGAAGACTGGAACTTCTAACATTGAAGGGTGGTTCTATCTTGATGAGAGTTAAGTTCTTAGGGATAGTTATCTACCACTGAATGGTTAGAATGCTACTTTGCTCTCAGTGATAATAGGAAATATGAATAAAAAGAGATCAGATATTTTAGGGGGAAAGATTGTATGCACTATTAAAATTTGGAAAAGAGAATTATCTCTTCATACTGCTTTTATAAGTACCTTCAGCTATTTAATTTATTTATAGGTTTCCTTGTGGCACAGTTCATTGAGGTAAGCACTAATTTCCAAAGGTGCAATTTATTTAGTAATGACAAAGATACAAATAATAATCTCCTGTCAGTCATTCAGAGAGGCAAATGGATACCTTGAGACAAGGCGATTGTACAATTCTCATGCTTGCAAAGAAAAATATTGCCATAATACCTTGGTAGCGGAAAGTTTAATTTCTAATTTATTTTCTAAATCTGACTTTTTAAACTGGGTGTACAGTAGCTATGTGATTGTTTGGAGTCATCATGGACAGTTCTAATTCTCTTCTGGTTTTGCACCCCATGGATTTAATCCAAGGATACTTTGAAGTCAGTTGGACATCCACATGCAGGTAATATGTTCCTTGCATTGATCACAATGCAGAATTGATTCTTATTACCTAAAGGAGAAACATACTCAAAAGGTTCAAGCAAAGCAGTAAGATTTATTGGTTTATTAAGGAGCTTCAGCAAAAAGCTTCAACATGCATAGAATGATAATATGTTTTCAAAGATGTAAGCATATAAATATTTATAGGGAAAAAGTTACCATATTCTCTGTTAGAAACAGGTATTGTGGTGATGATTAGATTTTTTTTGTTTTGTTTTTATGTAGACAATGTAGATTACAAGTGCCTGTATAATTTTTGTTGGAAGAGAAAAATGATCTAGAGTTTCAAACACTATAGCTTAGAGCAAGGGTTTGCAAACTATGGCCCGCAAGGATGAATGTGACCATTGCATGCTTTGTATGGCCTGTAGGCTAAGAATGGGTTTTACATGTGTAAATGGTTGAAAAAAAGGTGAAGAATATTTTGTGCCTTGTGAAAACTTTATAAAATTCACAATTTAGTGATCCTAAATAAAATCTTATTGGACTAGAGCCAGTTTCATTTGTTTGCATGTTGTCTCTGACTGGATTTGTGCTACAACAGCAATGATGAATAGTTGAGACAGAGACACGACGTTCTGCAAATCCTGAATTATTTACTATGTGGCCCTTTACCAAAAATGTTTGCTAACCGCTGCTTTAAAGTAAAGGAACTATATTCAAAGTCACTCAAAATAGCTTAGGAGAATTTTTAAATGCAATAACATTTATGTGACTTCATCTGATAAGTTTCAGTTAATGAAGGGAATAAAAGTATCATGAAAGCAAACAAGAAGAAAAATATAATTTTCCTTTAATTCTCCTTTATTAAAAAAATGAGTATGTTTTATATTTGAGCCTGAGAGTTGATAGTTTATGGTTACAGAAACAGACAGGCTCATGTGAGTGGGCAAGCCCAGCATATGGATTTATCCAAGAATGGGCAGTAGGAATTCAGCACAAGGAGAAATATGCAACAGCTAGCAGATGGCTTGCATTAACAGCAGTGAGGAGAGACGAGGAGACTGTGTACCAACACCCCTTTCCCACTGTTACCATCCAAAAAGTCAAGTACCCTACTTTTCAAAATTCACACTTGCAATTCACAACTCTGAAGTGAGTGTTAGATCCTTTATAAATAGATAATAAAAATCAAACAGGTTAACCTCCAAGTAACAAAACTAAATCTTCAGATAATACATTCACTTTATCCCAAACTGAATTGCAATGCAATCTCCATAGTGGGGAAGAAAGACAGTTTCAACACTGATTACAAAGTTGAGAGCAAAAGTCCCTAAAAAAACAATGGACACTATATCACCTCATTACATTTGGCTACATTTGTTGCTACGGGGTTTGGTGACCAATGCTCTCAAATGGCTGCAAGTACAGTTAGCTAAATAAAAAATGGCGTTCTTAAAGAATCTACTTCTTATCTTCAGAATAATATAAATCATATAATATGATACGTATATTAATACAAATCAAATTATTCTGAAGCTAAGAATATATAATATAAATGAGACAGTTGAGGAAAAAAACTGTATCACATTAAATTTCTGTAGTAATTAGTAAGTAGAGCCTTTTGTTTTCTTAAAATCTGAAACTATGTTTTCCGCTTTTCTCCTATGCTTAATATGAATGGAAAATGTACTATTTTGTAGGTAATTTACAGCGTTATACTTTGAAAGTTTTTTTTTCTCAACGAGGGTATTTATTAGTTTTGTTTCGATTATTGAGATGCCCCCTGCCCCCTCCTAAGTAAAAAAAGGGGAGGGGGTGCCGCACAAAAAACTCCTCCCAGTTCCTTTCAGTTTAAAAGCGCTTCCTGGAAAACAATGGTCTATTTTTTTTACTCCCTTCTCCCTCACTTTCCAATATCAGGAGCTACTTGGAATGAATTTAGGTCCCAAATCCATGTGAGGGTTAGCTTAGGTTATTCAATTCTCAGGGAGACATTGTTTTGTTTTATTTTTAAAATTCTAGCCCGGCATAGTGGCTCAGGCTTGTAAGGTTTGCTTAAGGCCAGGAGTTTGAGAGCAGCCTGGTCAACATAGCAAGAACTTGTTTCTACAAACTAGCCAGGATCAAAACCAAGGTTTCTTCATCTTGGCAGTATTGATATCTTGGGCTGGGTAGTTTTTGTTATGAGTAGGAACTGTCTTCGGCATTTTAATATGTCAGTAGCATCCCTGGATTCTACCCACTAGATACCAGTATCAGAGTAGATCCTCCTCCAAGTAATGACAACCAAACATGTCACCAGATGTTGCCAGCTGTTTCCTGGGTAGAGGAGAAATTTACCCTCAGTTGGGAACCATGAATCAAGACCAATACAAACATATGTACTCATTGCCTCTCTTTTTGATGGTGTGTGTTTGTATGTATAGTTTTTCTTTTCTAATTCACTTTTTTTCTTTACTCTTTCCTTCCTTCCTTTCTTCCTTCAATTCTTTTGTCAACTTACAGGAAAAGAAGCCATCTATTTAGTACTTACCATGAAATACTCTTGGTTTTTTTTTTTTTTTTTTTTTTTTTTTTTTTTTTGGTGCTCTACACGTTCAGAAAAACTTCTCTAGTTCTCTAGTAACAAACTATAGATATGATCCCTGAAATTATAGTCTTTATGAAGTACTCTTTAAAGATAAGCTGGCACTATTTTAAATACATTCCAATCTTTTGCTTCATAACACTGCAAAATATTTAAAAGAAGACAAATCAGAGTTTAAGAAATGAAATATCTCCATAAATTATGTTACAGTGTAAAGAAGTGTTGTATAGTGACTAATGTGTAGCTTGTACTGGTATTCTTAGTCAAATATTTTTTGAAAATGTATTAAGCATGCTGGTATTAATACTACTTGTAAATAGTGTCAATCATATTATTACTATAGGAATAATAAAATACTTAGAACTTTGTAAATAGGTACGTGTACAGGATGCATGTAAATAAATGAGGAACCAACTTAACACCACATCAGAAAATATTGATCATGTGTTATATGATTAGCATTGCCAGTTATGTAGAAATAAACAAAATAAATTAAGTCCCTGCCCTCATGTAACTTACATCCTAGTGAGAAGCTCCAATCAATACATTAAGATAGCATATGTCAGATGGTGAAATGCACTTTGGGGAACAATCAAATTGTGTTATGGAGATGTTGAGTCCTTGGGAGGCTTCTTAAAAGAAGGTCTTGAGGGCTTGTTAATAGGCTGACATTTGAGCTGGAAACTGAAGAATGTGAGGAAGCAGAGCATAGGGATAGCTAGAAAAAGGATTTTTCACACTCTCAATACCTGCTCCATCATTTGAAGTAAAAAATAAATAAATAAATAAATAAATAAATAAATAAATAAAATGTTATTAGAAGTAGACCTTTGAAAATATATGATGTTTTACTCCAGGCTGAAAAGATGAAAGTAAATAAAATTTGGCAAAACTTGTTTATTTCAGAACTCCATTGGACCATATGATTTTTTAGAAACTAGTTGGGACATATCCTAGATTTGTATGTCAAAACATTTTTCTTGTATGTGTGTGTTTTTATTGCCAATACCATGCTGTTATGTATGCAGCTATCACAATAGCCCATGTTCCCCATAAATTATAATTATAAAATTATTACATTTTAATTTTACAAAGAAATTGGTGAAATATTAGAATGAAGTGGATGAATTTTCTCCAAGGAACATCAAGAATGAAGATTATGATGACTGCAAATATTGAAATAAATGGAGGGTGTATTTCTCATGGGAAAAACTTTCAAATTCTTTTGCATTTTCTTAATTATCTCCATATTCCTAAGTAAAATTTTTATGCTGCTAAAAAAAAAAAAAAGAAAAAACAAAGAAAAACCTGCGGCAAATTTTTTTTTTTTTTTTTTGAGATGAATTCTTGCTCTGTCGACCAGGCTGGAGTGCAGTGGCATGATCTCAGCTTACTGCAAGCTCTGCCTCCTGGGTTCAAGCAATTCTCCTGCCTCAGCCTCCCAAGTAGCTGGGACTACAGGCGCCCACCACCACGCCCAGCTAATTTTTTTGTATTTTTAGTAGAGACAGAGATGTATTAGACAGGATGGTCTCGATCTCCTGAACTCGTGATCTTCCCACCTCGACCTCCCAAAGTGCTGAGATTATAGGCACTCAGATGTTATTCAGATGTTTCTTGGCTGCTTTTCATTGGTTGGGGTTTTAAGTTTTGCTTTTCTCTAACACAAGCACTTACCAGAAATGACCCAAATTAAGTTTCAACCACGTTTGCAGTGTAAGCAAGGTCAAGACTATTTTTAAGGCCTAGTTGGTATTGTTGGCTAAGGAATTTTTCAGATGTGGTCTCTATTTGAATTTTGCTTTCACAATTACTAAAAACTTATGAATTGTGTACTAAAGATAACAGATAAAACTTGGGCTTTCTTATCTTTGTCTCTCTAGGGTAGCAAACATTTGCTGAATGTGGCCTCCCAGATTCCATTTCCTATCATTCAAGGCAACACAACTACCATTTGGTTTGAATAGCTTCACTTTTCTCTGCGCTCCTCCAACAGACGCATGTGCTTAGAAGCTGATTGCTCCCAGCTCTAGGGTGGGGCCTAGGGAAGAGACCCAGTTAATGAGCAATGATTAATTCCGGAGTAGACATACTACCTGCACTGGCCTAATCAGAGTGAAGCTCATGAATTCTGTGTGATGACTGGTGGAAGATACACCTGTAAAGGAAATAGTAACATGTCTTATGACCACATACAGAGAGCTTTCCAAGAATGCAGGAAACATCAACTAGATTAAGCCAGTGCTACTTACTACTGCAGATAAACTCAAAATATTTGGAGTTTAATGTAATAGAAATCCATTTTTCACTCAGAAATTCCAGTTAGTGGGGGTGTTTGTGTTGGTGCTTGGCTGGATGAAGCTGATGAAGGGTCTGTATTCAGCATCCGTATTCCAAGACCAGTATTCAGTTAACAGATGGAGAAAAAGAGTGGACGATAGTGCTTGAGGGATCTTAATGGGCCTGCCTACAAGTTGCAGGCATCATTTTCACATACGTTTTATTGGCTAGAGCCAGTACATGGCCATATTAAGCGTAAGGGAGATTATATAATGTAATCTAGTTGTGTATTTAGGAGAAACATGAAATGGCTTGATGAAGAGTTAGCCAGTGTATGTCACATAAGACACAAAGATGAAAGATGTATACTAGCACCATCATTTCAGCCTTGGATCAAGCCATGCTTAAGACCAGCATAAGCCTAAACTATTCAGTTACTTAATGTCATAAATTATGTTTTTCAATATAAATGAAGCTGAATTAAATTCAGTAAATGTCAGTCATTTGCAACATAAAAAAATTTAACTGCTATACATGACAACAAAATATCAGATAAGAATAGTAAGTTCTTAATTTGTGTGGGTAGAATAAATGAAGACATGTACCTCCTTATCCCTCAGAAATCATATTTGCCTGGAATGTTGGATTAAATATTTCGATTCATTGTTTTTTTTGTTTTTTTTTTTTTTAAACTGCCAGAATCACTACAGTTTTAAAGAAGAGAAAGGCATATATTTTGTGAAAACTCTAATTGGATACAGTAATTTTCTTTCATTGATTATTAGTCAATTCATAATATTTAAGGAGGGGAAGGAATATTATGTGGCCAGATGAAACTAAGCATGAATATATTCTCTAAGTGTTGCATACAGGGAGACAGGCCCTGGGTGAGGGGTCTAATTGCCTAGGACATTACACACATCATTCCACAGATACATTTCTAGTACAAAAAGAAAAAATCACAATCCAAAAAAATTTTGTTTAGAATCTGGAAAGATAAACATTGAATCTGTGCACTGAAATACTGAAATAGTGTGTTGAATCAGAAACATAACTGGGGTTATTCCTGAAAATTGATGTCACTAACTGTGAGCATGGACGTCAATGGGAAATGGGTCAAGATATGTATTGGACCTTGTGAGTCAGGAATCCCATAAGCAAGAGGAAGTGTTATAACCTCCGTTTATTTTTGTGTTTTGTTGGTGGGTATATAGCTGCTTATATGCACACTCCACACTAGGCTAGGGAAACTCTTATAAACTTTAATAGCCATTGGAAATTTGTGTGTGGAGGAAAATAAAGTGTGGTGACATGATCTTGCAGATGTGGCTTCAAAAATATAGCAAAATGTGACTAAGCCTGAGCCTGAAAGCATGCAGAGGTAATTACAGTGGTGGCATACTGGCAACTTAGGTGGAGCCTTTGTAATTGAGGGTGAAATGTAATATATCGGCAAAAGGAGGTCAAGTGGTTAATGCTTCGGAAATGGTATGCTTCAGAACCAGACAGTCTTGGCCTTGTTTTCTTCTTTATTAAGACAGAGTTTTACTCTTGTTGCCCAAGCTGGAGTGCAGTGGCACGATTTCAGCTCCCTGCAACCTCAGCCTCTGGGGTTCAAGCGATTCTCCTGCATCAGCCTCCGGAGTAGCTGGGATTACAGGCGCCCACCACCACGCCCAGCTAATTTTTGTAATGTTAGTAGAGACAGGGTTTCGCCATGTTGGCTAGGCTGGTCTCAAACTTCTGACCTCAGATGATCCTCCCGCTTCAGCCTCCCAAACTGCTGGGATTAAAGGTGTGAGCCACTGTGCCCAGCCCCAGTCTTGCCCTTTTAATCCTATTGCCAATGCTTAATTGAATGACCTGTGTGATCTGGTGCCATCTACCAAACCTCAGTGAGCCTTGGCCTCATTAGCATGCATAGAATGGGGTAATCACTTCATTTATATAATTCTTACACATGATATAATACAAATAAAATGCCTAGTAATGTGGGTGCTTAATACATCGTTACTCGGAAAATTCTGCTGCCAGAGGAAAGCTTGGAGCTATCCTAGGTGGTGGCTTGTTTTTTGGTGGGGACATACAGGCTCTTCAAGGTTTTCCTTCATTTGGAATGCTAAGTCAAGACATGAGGACTGAATTTTGTCTACAATTCATTTAAGGAATAAATCCAAGTGCCCAGTGCACTTGAATGGCTCAGAAGGATAGACTTTGAGAAAATAAGACAGTGGGCTCTGGAGTCTTCTCATGTACTTTGTTGCTTGAACTCCCGTGTATAAAATGTAGATATGATTACATATTTACCACTGACTTTTGTTTTCTTATTCTCAATGGAGAAGAAAAATCACATGTGGTGGGTTTGTAAAATAGTAAAATTATGCTTGAAGTTTGTACTTGTATGGCCTCTTTTCAAGGTACTAGACAAACTGAAAAGTCCCCTTTTCTTCTGTTGTGAAGGACTGTCAATTACTCTTCTATATTCAGCAATCTTTGCTTGAACTTTATTGATAAGGTATTCTTAATCTTAATTCTACAATATAAGAAAAACATAGATGGTCAGTTTGAGAATTAGAAAGAGAAGGCAGATTTTATCCTTTTTAAAGGCTAAAGATTTTAAAGAATGAAAAATAAAAATGAAATTTTACTCCCATTAACAATAAAATTAGGAAAAGAACTACAGAGATAAGTGAAATAAGTGTTCCCTTTCTACCTGCCATTTTTCTTCCATATATGGATAGTCCATCTTTTTACAGTAACCATTTCAAAAGCCTGTCAACTTACAGCCAGAACTGCAAATTTCTCAGTATATATTCTATACCTAGGATAATTTTGTGCTTAGCCTTCAAATTACCATTTCAATTACAATGCAAATGGACACATGCATGCAATTTTATTTAAATGTATTGCCTTTCTTTGCCTATTGCATTGTCATGGTGCTGCTCTCTTCTATTTGCATTCTGCTGCATTCAGGAACCAATATTTGCAATTACAGTGAATGAGAAATTGTGATTTGGCCCATAGAAGTTGACTTCTTTTAATATTCTTTTTCCACTGTTAAACTCTGAATGATATCATCATTTCTGTTTCTATCATTTACATTTTTTTCATTACCTGTAAGTAATTCCAGATATAATGTGCTTTTTGAATTAAAGAGGGTCCATGGTTCTTTCATAGTTATACATGTCAAATTTTTCACACTTCTGATTTTTACATTTTCTGTCATTGGAAGGAGGTGAATATACTTTCTGCAAAATTCATATTTTATGCTATAGTTAATGTTTTCAAGCCATCTAGTTCAATTCTCCCTTTCCCATTCTGAAGAACACTATGTACCATCTAAACAATCACCATTTAAGGTTGAGGCGTGAGGAAAATTTAATAGCGTCATTTCCCTCTAGGTTTTGGCATTTAAAAACATATATAAATTTTCTTTCCTTTGTGAAAATTACTTTCATGCTTTACAAAACTTTTGGGTTTAACCTCAAATTTGAGAACCTAGAGGAGGGAGGTGTATAATGACTATGATTTCCTAAAATGATGATTCAAGGTGCCTCCTTAATCAGGAACTAAGCCAACAGTTGAGCTAAAACTCAGACTTTCACACCTAATGTGTTTCCTTTTCCTCTGTAGGAACAGACTGATTTCTGGAGTTTCTACATCTGAGTCATTTTAATCAATGAAATAAAGCTGTGTTTTCTTTGTTACCAGAGAAAATAATAATGCTTTGAATTTGTCAATTCTGTATAAGAGCCAGTGTTGAGTGACACTGTGTTCTCTCCTTATCTAAGGATATGGATTGAAAAATCCTCAACACAGAGAACTCTGTGTGGGGGAACTACTAGGAAAACAGAAAATTCCTGACATCCAAATGCTTGTTTTTAAAATAATTTTATTATACTTAGACAGTATATGTGTGTCTTCTGTTATGTCTAACCAGTTTAGAATACTTAAAGGCCAATCACTGAATTCTACAGAATAGCTTATCGTTGAATCTTGTCTAATCAAACATAAGTCCTATTTTTTGGTTTGACTATAATGATCAAGTCATTTAATATCTTCTTGTACCCCTCTATTGATCATGTGCAAATAACAGCATTTCTCACTTCTATAGCCAATTTAATAAATTATTAATATTTATTGAGTATTTTAAACTACTGCCCTAAAATGTGCATGCTAATAGATAGTGGTATGTGAGGGGAAAAAAAAATGCTTCAAGGATGACCTCACTGGTGTTACAATGTTGACCTCCGCACAAACTCAGATAATGGCTGATGGCTTTTCCCACGAAACCATAGCTAATATATGTTTCTCCAACCCACTGCTCCTAACAATCTCCTTTGCTTTTCAAGGAAACCCATCAATATGCTTTAGAGGCACTTCATCATTATTCCTTCTACTCTTTGTGAATCATCAGTAAGGATATATTTCAGAGCTTCTAGGGCTATATCCATTTCCTACTTTCCTCTTAAATTGTCTCTTGCAGTTAAATAGAAGGAAATGAGCTAGCTAAGTGCTCAGCTTACATGTACTCAATCAAAAATGAAATTTTACTCAGCTCTCGATTTTCCAGGTTGTAGAGGCTGGAAATTCAGAGACATTACAGCCAGAGTCAGAGATTAATGAGAATCATATATTTTGTATAGAAATAAAGTGACTTTATTGTATATGATACATGCTTTATATTAATGAACATTGTACATATTCATTGTATATATTCATTATATGTATATTATTTTATAATGCATATGTACAGTGTACAAATACAAATTGTGAAATGTACAATATACAAAATTGTACATGTGTATAATTTTAATTGTAATTTAATTTTAAATACAATTATCTGTATATTTATTTATTTACTGAGGTGGAGTCTCACTTTGTCGTCCAGGCCGGAGTGCAGTGGCATGATCTTGACTCATTGCAACCACTGCCTCCCATGTTCAAGCAATTCTCATGTCTCAACCTTCTGAGTAGCTGGGATTACAGGCACCTGCCACCACACCTGGATACTTTTTGTATTTTTAGTAGAGACTGGGTTTCAACATGTTGGCCAGGCTGGTCTCGAACTCCTGACCTCAAGTGATCTGTCCACCTCGGCCTCCCAAATTGCTGGTAATACAGGCGTGAGCCAACGTGCCTGGCCTGTATATTTACTTTGCATACAATATAATGCAAGGACTGAATCAGAAAAGTACAGAGACATACAGTGCATAAGAATAATTTTGAATGTGCAAGGAATATTGTGTCAATATTGAGAGAGACATGCTTAGGTTGTACCAAAACTTGGAGCCATTCACTGAAAAGGTGAAAGCCTGTGCTTTAGCTATGCTGGGGTATGAATGTGGGCTCACCTAAAACAATCAATAGTATATTTGAACTCATTAACCATTTATTGAATGCTCACCATGGACTGGCTAATTATTATGCTCAGAATTGGGTGTACAGAGATCAATGGGAGGCAATTCTTGCTCTCAAGGCGTAACCAACATAGAAATAATAATATAGAACAAAGTACTAGTACTGTAAGAGAGCTATTTTTTTGAAGCATGCTGGAATCAGGAAAATAATTGTAGAAATGATGACACATGAGATGAATCTTGAAGAAGGGATAGGAGTTTTTCACGTAAATAAGAGAGGGAGAGACTTTTAGTGCAAAGAAGTGAATAAAAAGAGAACACATAGTATGCTTCAGAAACAGCGTGTTCTATTTAATTTGAGAGAGGAAAGATAGAAGATAAATGGAGTGTGCAAGTCAGCAAATAATGAAGCTGGAAAATGTGGGTTGGGATCACAGTTCATGGAGCCAAAATGTCATAATAAGAAATCTGCATGTTAGCCGCCAGGAAATGAAGAGGCTTGAGAGGATTTGAAACCACAGTGTAGATCCCTGGTTCTGAACAAGTGTAGGGAGTGGACAGTGATTTTGCCCCTTGGGGGTCATTTGGTAATGGCTAGAGACATTTTTGCTGTCAGTGGGAGATGTACTGCTGGCCTGTAGTGAGGAGAAACCAGAGATGCTGCTAAGTGAACAGGACAGGACTACAATAATTATCTGCTCCAAATATCAATTCTGCTGCTGCTGAGAAACAGCCAATCATGTAGCTAATGGGGCTGTTTAGAAGGAGAAGTCTGCGGTGGAATTCCCTTGTAGGAGGCCATTGCTATGGTTCAAGTGAAAAAAAAATTAAAACCAGAACTAAGGGACTGAAAGTATTTAGGAGAGACAATGGAAAGGTACTCGAGAATACTCAAGTTTGTGGCTTATTCAGTACAGATTCTGAGATAGAAAGAAAACTCAAGCATGACTGAACTCTTCAAACTTGGGTAACTCAGAGTGGTTGGGGAGCTAATCAAGTCAAGGAAGTTACATAAGCTTAATTTATAAGACGCTGAGTTTGCAATTTCTATGGGTTCTTCAGATGGAGATAGATGGCAGGCAATTAGACATATAGACCTTGGACTCTGGAAAACAGTTTGTTGATTCAGTCAAATATTAAACATTTACTGTGAGTTTTGATCCAGGCATGTGGAATCATACAACAGTAAATAAGACATACCAGGCGCCCTCCTTGAACTCCCCACAGTTCTTAGTCAGGAAAATAGATAAATGAAGTTATAGGTCTATGGGTAGTATTTGTCATTTTTCCTAATAAATTAGTAACACTATTTAAAATAATATTAACATGGGATGATAGTGGTGTCGTGAAACAAAAACTCAATCTCATACATTTTTCATGGAAGCATTGCCTAGTATAACATCTTCAAATTGTAATTTATCAATATGTTTGAGGTCCTCATCTTTTAACCAAGTCATTCAAGTTCTAGGAAGTAATCAGAGATGGATTAAAACTTTCATTTAAGACCAGCTGCAATGTCTTATACCTGTAATCCCAGTGCTTTGGGAGGTTGAGGCAGGAGGAGCCTGGGCAACATGGCAACACCCCATCTCTATATAATTTGTTTTTAAATTAGCTGGGTATGATGGCACACACCTGTACTCCCAGCTACTCAGGAGGCTGAGGCAGGAGGATCGCCTAAGCCCAGGAGTTCGAGGTTGCAATTAGCCATGACTGTACCACTGCACTCCAGCCTGAGCAACAGAATGAGACTCTGTCTCAAAAAAACAAAAAAGACTTTCTTATGAAAGGATACATGCCACAGCATTATCTACAAAAGTGAATAGTTAGAAGTTCTATCTATATCTTTGTCTATCTATGTCCTTAAATTAGTATATCATGAAATTTATTAATCATCATAATTTAGTGGGAGTTAACTCTAAACAGACTTTAAATATAGTGTTTAGAAGAATGACCAGTGGCATGAGGAAATATTCAGTTTAAGGCTAAAAAAAATTATTCGAGTTATCGAAGTCTTTCTTATAGATATAGGTAGATAAACATATAAAGTGAAAAATAAATTTAAAGTGATAATCTGAAGATGATAGGATAAAAATGGACAGGAATATTCATTTTCTGTTTTGTATGAAGAACTATCAGGGTGAAAAAGGTTATAGCTAGAAGACACAAAAGCCTTTTATGCAAGGTGTGAGGTTTGAACCTCATCCTGAAGGCAGCCAGAAGCCATTGAAAGATTGTAAATGGAGAAGTGTCTGTTCATGTCCTTCACCCACTTTTTGATGGGGTTGTTTTTTTCTTGTAAATTTGTTTGAGTTCATTGTAGATTCTGGATATTAGCCCTTTGTCAGATGAGTGGGTTGCAAAAATTTTCTCCCATTTTGTGGGTTGCCTGTTCACTCTGATGGTGGTTGCTTTTGCTGTGCTAGAAGCTCTTTAGTTTAATTAGATCCCATTTGTCAATTTTGGCTTTTGTTGCCATTGCTTTTGGTGTTTTAGACATGAAGTCCTTGCCCATGCCTATGTCCTGAATGGTAATCCCTAGGTTTTCTTCTAGGGTTTTTATGGTTTTAGGTCTAACATGTAAGTCTTTAATCCATCTTGAATTGATTTTTGTATAAGGTGTAAGGAAGGGATCCAGTTTCAGCTTTCTACATATGGCTAGCCAGTTTTCCCAGCACCATTTATTAAATAGGGAATCCTTTCCCCATTGCTTGTTTTTGTCAGGTTTGTCAAAGATCAGATAGTTGTAGATATACGGCGTTATTTCTGAGGGCTCTGTTCTGTTCCATTGATCTATATCTCTGTTTTGGTACCAGTACCATGCTGTTTTGGTTACTGTAGCCTTGTAGTATAGTTTGAAGTCAGGTAGTGTGATGCCTCCAGCTTTGTTCTTTTGGCTTAGGATTGACTTGGCGATGCGGGCTCTTTTTTGGTTCCATGTGAACTTTAAAGTAGTTTTTTCCAATTCTGTGAAGAAAGTCATTGGTAGCTTGATGGGGATGGCATTGAATCTATAAATTACCTTGGGCAGTGTGGCCATTTTCACAATATTGATTCTTCATACCCATGAGCATGGAATGTTCTTCCATTTGTTTGTATCCTCTTTTATTTCATTGAGCAGTGGTTTGTAGTTCACCTTGAAGAGGTCCTTCACGTCCCTTGTAAGGTGGATTCCTAGGTATTTTATTCTCTTTGAAGCAATTGTGAATGGGAGTTCCCTCATGATTTAGCTCTCTGTTTGTCTGTTATTGGTGTATAAGAACGCTTGTGATTTTTGCACATTGATTTTGTATCCTGAGACTTTGCTGAAGTTGCTTATCAGCTTAAGGAGCTTTTGGGCTGAGACAATGGGGTTTTCTAGATATACAATCATGTCGTCTGCAAACAGGGACAATTTGACTTCCTCTTTTCCTAATTGAATACCCTTTATTTCCTTCTCCTGCCTAATTGCCCTGGCCAGAACTTCCAACACTATGTTGAATAGGAGTGGTGAGAGAGGGCATCCCTGTCTTGTGCCAGTTTTCAAAGGGAATGCTTCCAGTTTTTGCCCATTCAGTATGATATTGGCTGTGGGTTTAGACATTTATGCAGCCAAAAAAACACATGAAAAAATGCTCACCATCACTGGCCATCAGAGAAATGCAAATCAAAACCACAATGAGATATCATCTCACACCAGTTAGAATGGCAATCATTAAAAAGTCAGGAAACAACAGGTGCTGGAGAGGATGTGGAGAAATAGGAACACTTTTACACTGTTGGTGGGACTGTAAACTAGTTCAACCATTGTGGAAGTCAGTGTGGCGATTCCTCAGGGATCTAGAACTAGAAATACCATTTGACCCAGCCATCCCATTACTGGGTATATACCCAAAGGACTATAAATCATGCTGCTATAAAGACACATGCACACATATGTTTATTGCGGCACTATTCACAATAGCAAAGACTTGGAACCAACCTAAATGTCCAACAATCATAGACTGGATTAAGAAAATGTGGCACATATACACCATGGAATACTATGCAGCCATAAAAAATGATGAGTTCATGTCCTTTGTAGGGACATGGATGAAATTGGAAATCATCATTCTCAGTAAACTATCGCAAGAACAAAAAACCAAACACCGCATATTCTCACTCATAGGTGAGAATTGAACAATGAGAACACGTGGACACAGGAAGGGGAACATCACACTCTGGGGACTGTTGTGGGGTGGGGGGAGGGGGGAGGGATAGCATTGGGAGATATACCTAATGCTAGATGACGAGTTAGTGGGTGCAGCGCATCAGCATGGCACATGTATACATATGTAACTAACCGGCACATTGTGCACATGTACCCTAAAACTTAAAGTATAATTTAAAAAAATAAAATAAAAAAATAAATGGAATAGATGAGCAAAAAAAAAAAAAAAGGAAGATTGTAAATGGAGGGACAATACACACACACACACACACACACACAGTTGTTTAATTTTAGAGCTTTCTAATACATATATTTTTATGTATACACATATACAAATACATGTGAGTCCTATATAATTGGCGCCTGCATATTCATACATACTGATTTTTTTTTACCTGTGACTGTGAATTCATTGAGACATAAATTTCAAGTTTAAAAAATGCACAGGTTAAAAAAAGGCACAGAAGAAATGAGAAAATAACAAATCTGCAAATGGCAACAGGTAGGCATAAAAGAGCAAACATATTTGGAAAAGTTAAGAAAAATGCCAAGATTGCAACTAGAATTTATTTGTTGGGTTCAAATCAGATTCTCCATGCCTCAAAAGCAAGCAGCTTTAGGTTTCTAAAGACAGAGAGAGACAGAGAGAATGAGAGTGAGAGAGAGAGAGAGCGAGCCCACAAAACCAACTGACCAATTTTCCTTTAAATTCGTAGATTATTGAACTCAAATGGATAATTAACACTTCTTGCAATCATGCTGTTCCAGCATTTTCCTTCCCCATAATTTGAGATGACCAATTTTTCCCTGTCTCGTTAGGCCATCTCCTCCTCTCCCGTGTGCCCTTTCCTCACACTTAGTAAAGAAAGGGAAGCCACTGGACAGCAGTATCCTCATGGTTCACTGGAACTGAAAACACACTTACATTCATACCAACCATTCCCATCTTCTTCCTGTTAAAATTCCTCTCAGATGTTCTGGACCCCGTATCCCCAGCCTTATGCAAGGAATTCTCTTCCTTGTTTATCAGTCTATTACTTGTCTTAAAATCACATTCTACACTTTCTTTGTCCCCGTTCCTCTCTTCTCACTGACACCTCTATCCACCCCAAACTGAATTCTCTCCCCATCAATCCACTGACACTTGTCTTATCAGGGACAACAATTGATCCTGCATTATCCTATGTTTCCTGATTACATTATCACAGATTTTCCAACAGGTTTGAAAACAATCCTTTGCTTCCTCCTTCCTGAAACCCTTCCATGGAGCCACACCATTCTTTTGACTTTGCCGGATCTTGCGCTTCCATCCTTTTTCTGACTTTCCTCTACCCATACTTTGCCGGTGAAATCCTGACCACCTTTATCTCAAGCTATACTATCTGTTGGTTATCTCTTTGCCCACCGTTTTAGTTTTTTTTATTATTGGTACATAGTAGATACATGTATGTATTTATAAGGTACCTGTTATGTTTTGATACAGCCATACAATGTGCAATGATCAAATCATGGTAATTGGGGATATTCATTAGCTCAAGCATTTATCATTTCTTTGTGTTAGGAACATTCCACTTTCACTCTTTTATTTATTTTAACATATACAGTAAATTATTATTGAGTGCCATCACTCTGTTGTGCTATGAAACACTAGATTTTATTAATTCTGTCTAACTATATTTTGTACCCATTAAGAATCCCCATTTTTTGCCACACTCCCTGCTACGCTTCCCAGCCTCTGGTAACCACCCTTCTACTCTCTGTCTCCATGAGTTTAATTATTTTATTTTTTAGCTCCCATATATGAGACTTGCAAAATTTGTCTTTCTGTGCCTGTTTTATTAACATAATGGCCTCCAGCTCCATCTATGATGTTGCAAATGACAGAATTTCATTTTTTATGACTAAATAGTATTCTATCGTATATCTGTACCACATTTTCTTTATTTATTCCTCTGTTGATAAACACTTAGGTTGACTTCAAATCTTGGTTATTGTGAACAGTGCTGCAATAAATATGGGAGTGAAGGTATCTCCTCCATATACTGATTTCCTTTCCAGTATACACCTTCTGGTGTATACCTAGAAGTAGAATTGCCAGATTATAAGACACAGGTTTAAATACCATCTAGGTATATCTTGTATATAACTTTGGGTATATACCTAGCAGTGGGATTGCCAGATTATATGCCACAGTTTTAAATACCATCTACTTGTTCATATTTTTAAAAATTTTATGGTGCCAACCTAGATCTCTCTTCACATTTTTAGGTGAGGACATAAAATTGAGTTTCCCTGGATGTCTCATAGGCATCTCAAATGTAGCATGTCCAACCCTAAATGCTTCAAGATCTTTGAACTGGTTTCTTCCCCATCATAGTAAATTGAATCATTCATCCAAATAGTAGTGAAAATCAGTTACCAAGTTATTATTTTGAGTCTTCTTTTAATTACCCTTCACATCAAATCCAAGTATGCAGATTCTACCTCCAAAATATATTGCACCCAGCCCTGTGCCTCCATCATTATGGATGACATCTCAGTCTATGCTGGTACCATCTTTTGCTTGAACTCCAGCCATACCCTCCTAACCAGTCTTATTCTGTCACAGCTTCCCACCCCTGGCCTAATCTGCATTTCATTAACTCTCCAAGGACTAGAATCACCTTTGAAAGATATGAATCCAATCCTGTTGCTCTCCTGCTTCAATTTCTTTTCTGGCTTCCTGCTAAACTTAACATCATGTGCAGCCCATCTTCCCTGTCTTTAATGCCTTGCATGTATCCCTAACCAACTTCTCTAACATTGTGTTCCTACACTCTCCCTCCAACCTTCTGGCCACATTAGCCTGCAGATACATTTTCGGATATGCATAGGATGGTCTTTTCTGCCTCCAGGCTTTTAAATTTGCCTTTCCATGTGCCTAGACTGCTTTTTCCTTGGTTTTTTACATGACTGCTTCCTTTCCATACTTTGGGTTTTTCTCTCAATATTATCTCCTTAGAAAGCCTTAGAAATTACCTTCTTAACCAATACATTTAAAAGCATTTTTTTTATTCCAGTGCTGTTTATTTTTTTCTGTCATTGATTGAAAATTATGAATTTTATGATTATTTATTAGTTTATTTGTTTAATGCCTTTCTTGACCTCTAGAATGTCATTTCCATTAGGGAAGGAACATTGTTTCATACAAAATTGTATGTGTGTGGTACCTACAACAATATATAACCCTATCAGATATAAGGTTGCTCTTTTTCCAATAAACCATAACAATGGATGTAAAATAACTGAATAGGACATATTAGAACATCAGGAGTTATATACTGAATTTGATAATATTATCTTTAGTTGACCATATGGTACAGATTTCTCTTGGCTTCTGTCAAATAAATGAGGATATGAATTCTAATTCTATAACTTACAAACCTGTATCAGATTGGAAGTGATTCAAAGTATTAGAATAACCTGGAGTACTCTCATACAATTAATTCATATTACAAATAATTGTATTTGTATTTTGATGATGAAACAGCAATTATTGATCTTGAACACGGCACTGATTTTAACAGAGTTTTATTCAAAACCTGAAGAGAGCTTGGCTCCTCTCTCTGTGATTTAACATCAAACAGTTTGCATTGGAAGCTCACTTGTAGTATGTCTTCTGGGTAGCAGCTGTGGCTGTGGTTTGCAGGGGCAACTGCTGTTCATATTTCTGTCTCTTCGCCTTAGATGTTGTACTCTGTCTTTGTTGCCACTGAATGATGGCCACTTAGATGGCTGTATGCTACGTGATGCTGCCATCTCCTAGCAGTAAATAGCATATGCTGTCTTGTTTAAAGTTGTATTTCAACATTATGTTTTCCCTCCACACTCTAGATGAACTCACTTTTGCTCATAACACTACAATCCTTGAGTTGTGTGTTTCAGAAGTATAACACTACCAATGATGAGGATGGCAATAAAGATGATGAATTTGGCAATGGTGTTTGATGCTGCTGATGATGATGGTGACAAATGAAGACTGTCTTAGTTTCTCTATCCATATTAAACTTTGGATATAATTCTATTTAGATTACTTTGATTAGCATCTGCTTAATTGATCAAAGTAGGAACTAGAAATGCCTCTCTATTCTCTTAAGGATGTTTTTTAAAGAAGGATCAGAACACATCTGGCTCTCAAATTCTGGCTGTTCTTCAGTCATCAACCTTATTTCTAAGGTGCTTAGTTATTTATTAATGCTTTTACTTGCTTTCCAATAGGCCATATAAAAAGGAAATAATGTTTTATTTAGAAAAGAACACATTTTCCACTCACTGATTGTGAATTAAATGTTATAAACTGTGACAAGAATTGTCAATACTGTGCTAAATGCTTGTTTAACAATTATAATATCCAGTATTACTTTAATTTTTAATTTATGCATGTTAATGCATATGCCAATATGCATTGGCATATTGCCAATATGGAAACTCTGTATTTTAATTTTTTATCTGCAGTATTACACAATGTGCTTAATCCTTTTTTATTTTACTTAAATGAAATTCTCTTATTCTCTACCATAATTACAAAGCTCATGTTTCTGTAAAAATAAATTCTTCCCTATCTCAAAATTGTAAGGTATTACAATTTTGAATTATTGTACATAATTATTGCACATGATTTTCCATTGGTTTGTTTGTATTTTTAAGAAAATTCAATCATAGGGAATTGGTTCATCCTTGGTGCATTGCACATGTGCATCACAGAAATGGATCTAACCATTCATCTGCTTTTAATAATAGATTGAGCAGTTATGAACCCTCTACCCAGCCAAATAACTTCCATTTACCTATATTTTATTTCCCTTTGCCATTTTCTCTATGTCACTTAACAAATTATTATAAGAAGTATTTTATACCGAGAGGTCACATAATTTTCATTAAATTTTATTTCAGAAATTTACCTATTTCTGAAATATGAAATTGAAATATGAAATATGAAATTTCTGAAAGCTAAAAATATTAGAAATTGTTCTGTTCTTTGCTTTTGGTAAGTCCCAACTATCACTGCATTCTTCCTGGATTAGTCATGGTTAGTAGCATTTTCTATTTGCTTCTAATTGCTTCCAAGAGGTAAGTAAAGACAATGACTAGATTTACTTCATTTATATGAGATGTAGTTTGATTTAAGTTGTGGATTTAGCACATGGGTCTTTCAAGTTAACTACAAACTGTTTTGTGTAGTTATATTACAATAAGATGATGCCTTTATACAACTACTGAAATTACATTCTGGTAATTATTATTTAAGAATGCTGAGTTTCATATGCCTCTGTCTTCACCATTTGTGGATATGCAGTTGTTCTCTTAGTATTTTGATGATTAATTGCCTCTAAGGTCTTTCATATTTAACATATATTCTCAAATCGCCATTTTTGAGTGACTTGAAATTTTATATTATTTTGAATCATATAAGAGACTCAAACAACAAATGACAACTATTAGAATCATGTGCATTCCAAAAGAGGAACATATTTTTAAATGAGGCAGTCAACATGTTTTGGCTAAAATCTAATTTTGAGAATATTGGTAGAATAAGAATAATATAATATTGTATCTTATAGATAATCATACCAGTTTTCTGTTTGGAGATTTCTGTTCAATTCTTGTATTTTCTAGATGTGTAGTTAAGTTTGAGAAAGATGAAATGACTTGTTCAATATCACGTATCTTATGAGCAAGACCATAGGTCGAACCAAAGTATCTTGTTCAATAGAATCATCAAACATTCAAGCTAGGCAGGAATTACAGGAACCTTCCATCTTGATCTAAAGTTAATAGGAAATTTTTATAATTTAAACTTCTTACATTTACTTCTGAAGATGATTAGTGAGAGGTAATACGAGAGCCAAGGCCTTTCCATAAGATAGATCCCAGCTTGAATATCAGCCCTGACACTTACTGTGTGCCCTTAAACAAGTTGCTAAATATTTCATTTCAGAGGTTTTGTTTCATTAGTAAATCAGATTTTGTGTCTCAGAGATGATAAAAGATATGCCATTAAAGATACTGTCAGAATCTGGAGGCTTTTCAATCAATATTAATTTTCTTTTTTACCCCAATGTGATATGATTACATTTCCAGGCAGATAGTCCTGCCTTTCCAGCTGGGGGATGCAAACAGTCATCACATACAGGTGGAAGAGGAGGTGAAAGGAAGTGGGAGTAAATGAATGGCTCATTTTGTTCCCAAAAGGTGTGCTAAAGAAATAAGGGGGCGGGGCACAGTGGCTCACGCCTGTAATCCCAGCACTTTGGGAGGCCAAGGCGAGTGGATCACTTGAGATCAGGAGTTCAAGACCAGCCTGGCCAACATGATGAAACCCCGTCTCTGCTAAAATTACAAAAATTAACTGGGCATGGTGGTGCACGCCTGTAATCCCAGCTACTCAGGTGGCTGAGGCAGAAGAATTGCTTGCACCTGGGAGGCGGAGGTTGCAGTGAGCAGAGCTCATGCCACTGCACTCCAGCCTGGGCAACAGAGCGAGACTCCATCTCAAAAATTAAATAAATAAATAAATAAATAAATAAATATAAGTGGGAGCTTTCTAATTTCACAAGAACTCATCAGTAAAAGTGATTTTATGAATGAACAACAACAATAAAGTCAGTTAGAAAAACATGGGAGGGGAAAGGGCTAGTTGGAATAGAGCAAACTACTAAAACATAATCTCATTCACTTCCCAATTCTAAAATCCACAATCCTTCTCTAAAATGCATGTTGATTGGCAACTTAGTGTTTTTTGAAAGAATGGTACTCTGTCTACATAACAAAACTAGTTATTTATAATACAATTAAAGTGATAAAGGTCTTGAGATTTTATCTATCTTAAGATATATTTTCCACATTTTGAAAAAGAACCATGTTTTGTGATGAGAAATATGAGAATGTAATTGTTTATAATACTTTGTAGACTAGAATATTCTATAATATCCTTTATTGTGTTTGAGGTCATTCGGCTGAGTATTTTGAAATCTCCACAAAACATTGGTTCTTGAAATTCTCTTAACATTAATGGCACAGGCAGCCATGAAGTCCAATCCTGATCACTGCCTGGGATGAAAGTGTGACTGACACTCCTGTTCTCTAAGAGTAAATGGAAACTTGGTCTTATAACCAGATTATTTGAGGAACATTTGCAGGGAACATTAATGTTAAAATTAGGAACAAATATAAAGCAACAGACTACAGTGGTAAGCATCGATTGAACAGGGAAACTGCCTTTAATGGTAAAAAAAAAAAATGCATGCAAAAACCTGTGATCTTATTTTACTATTGACTGTTTCAAAATCAAATTATATCAAGACCTGCTCAACTCTGTATATACATAGCTTGGGATAACTGATTGTTCTGCAATCAGTTATCTATCCCAGCTATAGATTTCCTACCTCTTACACATTTATTTCAAACATAAACATACACACACACACACACACACACACACACACACACACACCTTTTAGGCAGCTGGGATTCCCAAGACTGGGATTCCAAGACATTAGCTTTTTAGAAAAATATTTTCCAGAAGTGTTTTCTTTCTTTTTTTTTCAAGACATCATCAGACAAACTGGTGAATATTAAGACTGCCCACATAGCGTTAGTCATTTGAAGGAGAGATGAACAAACTGAATCAATCCAGGCCATCATTAGCATGTTTTGTCTGCCTGGCAAATCCAAAGAGCTGTGCATTTGAACATATGAATGTTACCAAAATATCTGGAGAACCAACTGAATTTTTACAGTTTTGACAAGAATATGTTCTTCCACTTGACACAGACTTACATTGTCAGGTTTATCCAGCCCTTCTTTAATTGATTTAATAATCTGTCATTACTTCATACTTCTCGGTAGTTTAAAGATTGTACATTTTTCCTAATTTATAATTCCCTTAGATAGACTGTTGATTTAAGTAGAGTTATTTTAACTAGCTTGATGATATCTATAGTCAGGATAGTCATATCAGACATGTGTTAGTATGTAAACTAGGAAAAAATCTAATTGATGCAATCAAGAAATATTCAGATCAAATCCTATGTGTACCTAATATGTGCACCCAGCTCCCCTTATTTCTTTAGCACACCTTTTGGGAACAAAATGAGCCATTCCTTTAGTCCCACCCCTTTCACCTGTTCTTCCACCTATATCTGATCACTGTTTGCATCCCCCAGCTGGGAAGGCGGGACTATCTGCCTGGAAATGTAAAGGAAATGATGTTACATAAGAGAACTATAGAATAACTAACTTCCTTCTTCCAATCATGCCTTACATGGGATGATCATTCTGTCCTTATGCAGTTCGATACTCTAAGGAAAATTTTTATACTTTTGTGCCGATCATGGAAATATTTATAATCAAAAGTATCAGTATACCTCTTTCCAACTAGCCATGTGCTCTATATTGTGCTTTCGAGTCTTATTGCAGAAACATGTCTAAATACTTTACTAAATAAGTACTTTGAAAATATATAAAACAACAGAGAATTATTCCTGACCAATATGTCAGGTCATGTGATATGTTTAGGTTGAGTGTTTAAACCTGAGTTATAATCCAGAACAGATGAAATGGTCCAGCTTAAACTTTCAGGTGTTTCACTCTTTTGGGAGGAACGTGAGTAGTGGCTGGCTTCTGGCCCACACCACAGACCTGGTGAACATATTGGGCAAACGAGACAATCATTAATCAAGAAGTTCACGTGCCTGAGTCTCAGGGTTGGAGAATTTTCATTTCCCCTTTGAGAAGTCCTCCACCATATGCTATTTGGAAAAGCATGTCTCCTCCGGATGCACACCCTTCATATTTAAAGGTAGCACCATCATTTTCTAGGTGGAAGGCCAGTCTATGTTAGTTACTAGTATTATGTTCTAGTCACAATGTAACTGATGTTCTAGTTTAACTGGGACAGAGTGATTTCCTGGGATAAACAATTTCAGTGTCCAAACTAGGACATCTCCAGGCCAACAAGGATACATTGGTCACCCTAAGTCTGGAATAGGTTCACTTCCTAAAGTCATTTGGTAATTTGCCATTTGTTTCATAGATTAAAAATCCTCTTTTTGTTGTTGTTTTTCCTTGTAATATCAAGTTCTGTCAGGTGCTTACTCTCTGAATTTTTAAAGTTTAATTTTTAATTAGTAAAATCATAGTCACAAATACCAGATGAAGAAATTTCAATTAGAATAAGTTTTCCTTTTTAGGAAAAAAAATAATTTTATTCAGAAGAAATCTTCTTTGGATATCATTGCTTGGGTCTCTGTCATTTGTGCTCTCTATCTAAGGATAAAAATTTCCTTATCTTTTTTTCCCGGAAAAATTAAAGATCCCTTTTCCATCTACACATAAAGCCTTCTAAGCCTTGATTCTGGATTCCTTGAACAAAATAGGGAAGTAAATCAGAAGCTTCAGTACGAGCTGCCCACCTAAGCCATGGACACCTTGACTTTATTACCCCTTGTTTGGAATTAATGTGGGCATCTGTACCCATCCTTTGGTTCTTACCAAGTTGGCCATTTCCATGATATGCCATCTTCATAATATACAATTTCCTACAGCAGAGAGCATCGCTAATACAAAAAAAGGGGTATGGATGGAAGTCACTGACACATGCCTATAATTGTGAAGTCTAATTAACCTGCCTTCAATTTCTTAGTGATTTTTAATATTAAAGCTATCCCCATATATTGGGGATATTTTTAAATGTATTTTAAGATTTTTAATATTAAAACTATCCCCATATATTGATTACAGTGTTAAAAAAAGAAATTTATTGTTTTCAAACTAGTTTTTCCCACCTCTTACTTACAAGCCATCTTAAATATTGGAAAGAAATTAAACAATTGATTGTCCTATAAAAGATATTGTGATTATTTGGCATAAATATAACATTTGTCCCAATACATGTAGGACAAATCAGAAATGGAGATATCATCCAAGTTAAATGACCTCAGATATTATTTTCATTACTCTAAATTTATGATATTTGGGTACAGTAATTAAATGCTTATTTCCAGTGTATACCTTACTGGCCAGCTCTCTGCTTATTGGGTTGTCTCCCAGGCCATTCCATCACAGACCAAATATCAAGAATATCAAGTCTTCTTTGTTATCTTAATCACTTGTTCTTTCAAGTTTGGATAAGGTATATCAGGATCAAAATTCCATTTTGCCTCTTTTGGTTTTTCAAAGATTGTCAGAATTCCGAAAGTGACCATGTTTTAAAATTATACTTCATCTATGTATTGTATCTTTATTGAATGTAAAAAAAAATTCCTGAAACAGAAATTTTTTACCATGTCATTATTGACATTAGACATCATTGTCATCATCAACATTATTAAATACATTTTCTAGAACAGGTTTTGGGGGAATCAGTATGGTCAAAGTGGTGAAAAAGGGGAATAAAATGAGGTAGAACTCATAAAGGATTTATTTTATTTAAGAAGGTCGGCATAAACATAAAACAGGAAATAAGCATGCAAATGAGTCTACATCCACCGTCAAATGAGGTGCTAGTGAGTAGTAATGTGAATCCAGAGGAGGAACATTCACTGAACAACACAATGCTTAGTGAAGGGCTTTAGAAGGACGAGACTCAGCATGGGCTCTTGGGCCTCTCACCAAATTCAACCTGAGAGATGCCAAAACAAAGAAAATAAAGTTGAGGGGCCGAGCTTGGTGGCTCACGCCTGTAATCCCAACACTTTGCGAGGCCGAGGTGGACGGATCACTTGAGGTCAAGAGTTTAAGACCAGCCGGGCCAACATGGTGAAACCCTGTCTTTACTAAAAATATAAAAATTAGCTGGGAGTGGTGGCCCGTGGTTCCAGCTACTTGGGAGGCTGAAGCAGGAGAATCGCTTGAACCCAGGAGGCGAAGGTGGCAGTGAGCCGAGATCATGCCATTGCACTCCAGCCTGGAAGGCAGAGTAAGACTCTGTCTCAAAAAAAAAAAAAAAAAAAAAAAAAAAAAAAAAAAAAATTAAAAAGAAAAAAGAAAAGAAAGTTGAGTATAGTGACAAATGTAGAGAAATTATGAGCGAGGCAAGATGTTAGAAGCATACATTGTTGTCTAAATGAGGGATGACTTTCAAGACTGTTCCCATAATTCTCTGGATTTTGCAATAAAATACAAATATGGTTGAGAGTGAGAAGGATGGATTCTCATGTGTAGATCAGAGGGAAGTAAAGGCATAAGAAGATAATCATCTGGATCAGCATTTAAGATGTATATTTTGCTAAGATGTTGATACAGGGAAATTTTAAAATTTATGAATTTCAGTTATATTAGTATGGGCTAAATTGCCAGGAGAATTTTACCTATCTGATAGCAATGGAAAAAAAAAGCTTGATAATCATAAAACACAAAATATCACAGAAATAAGTCAAATATATCTACAAATGCAGCAAATATAAATTACATTCATTTTTAAAAACAGCTTTATTGAGGCATAATTTAGATAAATTTACATAACATTCACCCATGTTAAGTTTGCTGTTCGTGTGTTGTAGTGCACTTATGTAGCCATCAATAACAATTCATTTTAGCCTCCTTTCATCACTCTAAAAATGCCTCGTGTCCATTTATAGCTAATTCCTATCCACTGCCCCAGAAACCAATTATCTGCTTTCTGTCTTTATAGTTTTGCTTTTTTTCTAGAAAATTCAAATACATGAAATCAAATAAAATGAATTTCAGGACGAATTGGGAGCATGCATTTCTCACTCCTCTACATGTTGGCTCTACTCCATGAATATTTATTCTGAGACCCAAGATGGTGCCACAGCAACTTCTGTGATTGTAGAAGCATAAGAAAATAAAACCCATCATGCATGCGTACTGGGTTTTGTCTTTTTTCCCCAAGAAATCTGGATACTTATTAAGTGTTACATCTGAATTTAACTTCTAGATATTCTAGTAGTTTGAATGTGTCAAAGATTAATTTTGAGTGATCTCTAAAATTCATATTATATACAGGAAGTAAAAATTACAGGCATGCCTTGTAATACAGCCATTGTATAGCTGTGTCTACTGGACACTAGAATGTCTCAAAGAAATTAAAATATTTAGAAGTATGTTTGGCATTGCATATAATTTATTTTTGTACTAGATGGAAGTGGTATTTTTGCGACAATTTAATTATAGTCATGTGTCGCCTAATGACTGGGATATGTTCTGAGAAAATGCATCTTGAGGCAATTTTGTCATTGTGTGAATATCATAGAATGTGCTTACACAAACCTAGATTGTACAGCCTGCTACAAACCTGGGCTATATACTATGGCCTATTGCTCCTAGGCTACAAACCCGTACAGCATGTGACTCAACTGAATACTGTAGGCAATTGTAACGCAATGGTAAATATCTGTGCATCTAAACATAACTAAACTTAAGGAGGTACAATAGAAATACTGTACCTTATAGGACAACCGTCATACATGTGGCCTGTCATTGACTAAAGTGTTATTTCCCAAGACTGTAATTATAAAAATTTATGCACTAACTATTTTCCAAAATTTGTAAAGAATGTAGCAGAGAAAACTGGTTCAGTCAATCCTTGATAAAATAAGAAATTAATAAACTTTTGTTGTGAGCTTCCAGAGACTTTTACAGATATTTAAGACACATTTAAAATTGTCCTTCCGAAATACCCCTGTGGTATAGGGGTATATGCGTTTTCTTATTCCCACTCCAGCAATACAGACCCTTTACAACTTTTAGAGAAAACAAAAAGGCTAGTTTGGTAAAGAATGGTAATTTGCTTTTTCACTTTTTAATTTATTGATTGAGGTTGGAGTCAGACTCTTCGCTTTTTATTTCTGCATATTATCTGTTTGTATTATTTGTCTAATGCTTATGTTGGAATGTAAGACTTTTTTATCACTACAATTTTTGTAGAGATTATGTTGTAACCCAGTTAGTATATTTGCTGCAAATATTTTCCCAGAATATCATTTGCCTTTAATTTCGTGGTTATTACTTACAGAATATTTAATTATGTTTTCAAAGTTATTGATTTTTTTTCTAGTGATTTGTTTCTATTGCTTTTCTGCTTAGAGAGAGATGTGGACTTATAACTTAATCAAATCTTCACTACTGAAGAAATGAAAGGAGTAATTTTTAAGCAATCTGTCGTACTTTTTCACTTGCATTTTCACCCCCATGGCACTCATCTAAGGCTGCATCTTCTTCAGTACTCATCAGTTTTTTAAGGGTTGTCAAAATAGGCAAGAACTCAGAATGATTTACTAAATACCAATGTGACTGTGTCATCTTTCATGACATCAATGCCAATTTCCTATGTTTCTTTGGGAATATATGCACTAGGGAATATTTAATTAATTATAATTATTTTCTTTAAAAGATAAATGCTGAAGCTTTACATTAAAAAAACTACTATTCTGATCATTTTAACTAAATAAACCAGTTTAGTTATTTTTTTCCTCTCTGTCTCCTTTGGAAGTAGCAATCACACAATCTTTACCCATCTCCCTTGTCAAGCGTATTTAACAGCATTCTCAAAAGCAGATGGAAGCAAATACTTTATGTGAAATCAAAATTTGAAAAATTTCCTCAACTGAGACATTCAGGTTAGTCATTGCAAAGTCTAAATACATGCAAGCCAGTCTGCATCCCAGTCTTCTACTTTAAAGCTGGGGCCATTTCACCTCTCCCTGTAGATTTCGTTTCATTGAACGGTTTTGATTGTAATCTTGTTTTAGGTAGGAAGAAGTAACAGAAACAATATGAAATTGATAATAACAAGAATAAAACAAACAAATCATATGTATTTTTTTGAGACAGAGTTTTGTTCTTGTTGCCCAGGCTGGAGTGCAGTGGCACGATCTCGGCTCACTGCAACCTCCGCCTCCTGGGTTCAAGCGATTCTCTTGTCTCAGCTTCCTGAGTAGCTGAGATTACAGGCACCCACCACCATGCCTGGCTAATTTTTTTGTATTTTTAGTAGAGATGGGGTTTCACCATGTTGGCCAGGCTGGTCTCGAACTCCTAACCTCAGGTGGTCCACCCACCTCGGCCTCCCAACGTGCTGGGATTATAGGCGTGAGCCACAGTTCCTGGCCACAAATCATAATTTTTATTAACATTTATACCATCTAAAATGACTTTCTTATCTGTAAGTTACTTCACTGGACACATGGCCCAGATTTCATCCTTATAACCTGGCAATAACATAGATAGTATCGTACTCCATTACAAGTGAAGAATCAGAAGTAAATAACTTGCAAAAGGTCACACAGTAACACGTTAAGCCCAAATCTTCTGACAGCTAGGCCCATCCCTGAAACCAGTAGACAACATTATCCTTACTGCCATTGCTCTTGGTACTGCCTTCCCTAGTAATAAAGTTAATGTCACATACCCGACTCCATGAATCCCTCGCTCATACCAGTGCTCATCTAGGATGATGTCTTCCTCCCTGTATTTCTATCCTGGCTAATATCTAGATTTCTTGAAGCGTATCTGGGATTTCTTTTGTAACTGAGTCCTCAATATTCACAACCAAGACCCATGTTGCTACTTTTCTAGTCAAAAACTTAGCCTCTGTTGACAGACAGCTCTTTGAATAATAATATTTCCATACCTGATTTTTAAAATGAATACATAAAAATTTAAATTGTATTTTACTTTCTATCAATTTTCTTTTCTTCAGCTAATCAAAAACTATTCTATATATTCTTCTCTAACAGTAGAGGGAATAATTAAAAATATATTTTAAAATATTAACTTTGTTAGTTTTTTCTTGTCTTTCTGTTTTCTTCTATCATTTTCTTTCCTTCCCTCCTTCCTTCCTTCCCTCCTCCCTTCCCTCCTTCCTTTTTTTTGATTTTTAGGAAATGGAAATATCTCTTAATAAACTGGTATAAATATTGGATAGCTCACTAAAATCTTATTTGGAATAAGGATCGATTAAAATAATTATTTGCACATGACTGAACATGTATTCTAGGTTCCTTTAAGCACAGCAGAAGTCTCCAACAATTTTGAGAGAATATCACTTATATAGAGAATATGAAACAAAGTGAAAGACAATTTTCTGCCAATGCAAAGGATGTAATTCCCACTAATGCCCTTCAGTAAGGCATAAAAAGGTGATTGACCAAGCAAAACAATCGGCCAGCTTCCTTATCTAGCTGTGCTTCCTACTTTAGCTTCATATTTCTGTATGGATAAATGTCTATTAAGAACTTAGGTACATTTATAAAAATGTTGTCTATGAAATCCCAAATTAATTCTTTCCTGTTGTCACCTTTTTACTGTCCTCAGGAATCTTGTCATAAAATATAAATTAATTTTGTTTAGATGTAATACACTTTTGCCTCTCTTTTTTAACTTGTTGAAAATGTACAGTTATTATAATTGATCTTGCCTAATTGAATCCCCCATTGAGTGTAGACTTTGTTAATCTAATTTAGATTATAAACCCAGTTAGTCTTCAGGGATTTTATAGACCTCATTACATTCTTCCACTCATTTTACTTCTCTTCCATTTCTTCTCTAGAGACACTACTCAATCAATGCTACAAAAAAAAATTAAAAAATAACATTGGGTATTTGGTCCACCTGGTTTTTCACACATTCTCCTCTGTTTGCAGTTTTCTGTAAATAAGTTTCTATCTTGCTTGGGGTATTACATATTTCTTCTCATTTTAACCTTATCCCATCCCTTTCAGTATCTTGAATGGTGTCTTAGCACTTACTACCACTTACAAATTCATTTAGGAGGTGATTTACCTTTACTCTGATTAAATACTGAAGATCCATGATAATTACCTCTGAACATTACTTTTTAACCTCTTCATCTTTGTACTTAAATAGGAAATAGTAATTGTAAGAATCTTCTCTTGTAATTGAAATAGTGCCACTTACTGCAATTATTCAGATGATTTTCGTATTTACTCAATGTCTAATAACTAATACATGTCAACATTTAACATTCTATTTTAAAGGTGAGCTTGAATGAGGACATTGTATCAATAATTTATTTGTCTCCCCTTATCGAATTTTCTTTGTTGGCCCTCATGTACATAGAAGCATGGGACATAAAACCTGCTTTGATGAAGTTCATAATCAAGTAGAGGGGGCAAAACAGTTACACAAATAATACTTTAATAGAGGAAAAAATTGATAGGGACTATAAGACAGATGCTGGAGTTAAGGAATAATACATATCCTTCCTTTATCTGGCATTCTTTTAGTCCTTGTTTTTGGCTCTGATTCTAGCTTTGGAAGATCAAGAGTCCTGTGTGATCCTAGTTGCAATGCGCCTGGCTGGCCATCCTCATCATTATCTCATTCTGGCCTTTAGCCAGACTATTTGCATGTCCTTATCCCACAAACAAGTCAACTCATTCCTTGTGCAGGCATTGCTAACCATATGCTCGTACACCAGTATAAAGTACAGAACTCATCTCTGGAAGTCTTGCTAGAGTAATTTAGGCAAAGGCATTTATTGTTAAATCAAGAGTTTACCATCTTGAGAAAGACAATGACAAGTGACCCTGTAGAATAATGAGCTATTGCTTATTCAGTGCCAGCACTGTCTTCTCCTTGAATCCCCTATCAGTATCATGCTGACTTTGGAAATTTAGACAACAGGAGGTAGGGTTTATGAGGCAGGCCAGCTGGTTTTGAAGAGCCAGATGCTCTCAAATACTTCCATGCCTCTTGAAGCATTGCTGATCATGCCGCTGCTCAGGAGGACTGCCAGCCACATGTGGGTTATGAATAAAGTAGAGCTCAGTGGGATTTGTTCTGAAGGAGTTCAATTTTAAATATAATAGTAAGATTACAATAAAAACAATAGTATCAGCAATAAGTGGAATTACTTATAGAGCCTTACTGTGTCTGACAATGCATTGAGTTCTATCTTACATCAGTCTCACCACAACCAAAGAAGCAGAGACAATGGCTGATCCTATTTTACAGCTAAGAAACTGAGAGGCTCAGTGAAGTTAAGTGATTTTTCCCAAATTGTGCAGTGAGGAAGTGACAGAGCACTAAAATGGAAATCCCGGCAAGGCTAACTCTAGAACCAGAGATCTAAACACCTGTGTCTTAATGCACAGAATAGCAGACATGTTGTGAGATCCCTCCAGCCATTGCAGCCAAGCTTTAAAATATGTAAATAAATGTTGTTTCAAACATTTTGAAACCATGTCAAAGTGTTTTACTTTCAAGATTAATTGGTGAATGAATCCTTTGAGAATGCTGTTGATGATAAGACCATACTATTTTGAAATAAAATCACAATGCCAATAATTTGTTTTAACTTAGAAGTGAGATTCCAGTCCATTATATTTCAGCTTATTGTCATTGATCTACTCTATAAGAGTAATATTTTTTAATTTATTAAATAATCAATTGAAATGCTTTTACTTACAATACTTCTCATCCCAAATGTGTGGATTTTTTTTTTTTCTCACACCAAGGAGTTCTCCAACTCTCTGGACAACAACCGAGTGTTCCACAATTTAACTTAATTCTGACACCAACTACCCAGAGTTAATGCAGACCCCACAGGTTAAGGGCTCAGTCACACAAGACTGCCCACATGTTAGACACCATTGGCAAATCAGGGCTAATGTATTCCTGAGTGATCGGCTACAACGTTGAGGGTACCCATGACCCTTTACTTCAGGTTCAATAATTTACTAGAATCGCTTATAAAACTCAAGAAAGTACTTAACTTACTATTACTGGGTTATTCTTATAAAGGATACCACTCAAAAACGGCCAAATGGAAGAGACGCATCAGGCAAAGCACGGATGAAGTGCGTGCATGGAGCTAACATCACAATGCAGGTGCTTCTCCACTTACGATGGGGTTTTATCTGATGAGCACATTGTATATTAAAAATATTGTAAGTCGAAAATGCATTTAATACCCTTCACCAACCAAACATCATGGTATTTCCCAGCTTACCTTAAACATGCCCAGAACACTTAAATAGACCTACATGTGGACAAAATCATGGGCAACACAGGACACCATAGAATATTGGTTATTTTCTCATGATTGTGTGACTGACTGGGAGCTGTGGTTGCTGCCGCTGCCCAGCTTGGCGAGTGTATTGCACTGCGTATGGCCAGCCCGGGAAAAGATCAACATTAGAAATTTGAAATTCTGCTTCTATTGAATGCATATTGCTTTGCACCATAGTAAAGTCAAAAAATTGTAAGTTGGACCATACTAAGTTGAGACCATCTGTATCGCATAAACTCATAACTTGACAGATTTTTTAATTCAACTAGTCACTACGTTTAGCTAGGTATGGTGTCTCACACCTGTAATCCTAGCAGTTTGGTAGGCACAGGTGGCCAGATCTCTTGAGCCCAGGAGTTCAAGACCAGCCTGGGCAAACATGGCAAGACCCTGTCTCTACTAAAGCACAAAAATTATCCAGGCATGGTGGCACACACCTGTAGTCCCAGCCACTCAGGAGGCTGAGGTGGGAGGATTAAGTGAGCCTGGGGAGGTCAAGAATACAATGAGCTGAAATCCCAGCACTTCACTGCAGCCTGGGTGACAGAGTGAGACCCTGTCTCAAAGAAAAAAAAAATTAGTTATGATTTTCCTATTCAAACAGTTATCATTTGAAACTGTTTAGGAATTCAAAGTTAGAGTCAGTAATTAAGCTAGTAAAAACATATTACTACCTAGGCAACATAACAGTTTATTTATTGAAGCATAAGACCAGGAAAAAAGCAATTCTATTTTTCTTTATAATATTGACTTTTGTTAAACATGTAATTATTGAATGCCTATGATAGATTGGGCACTGTGCTGGGTACTGAGGATGCAAAGATGAGTATGTTGGCCGGGCGTGGTGGCTCATGCCTGTAATCCCAGCACTTTGGGAGGCCGAGGCGGGTGGATCACAAGGTCAAAAGATCGAGACCATCCTGGCCAGCATGGTGAAACCCCGTCTCTACTAAAAATACAAAAGTTGGCTGGGTGTGGTGGCATGCGCCTGCAGTCCCAGCTACTCGGGAGGTTGAGGCAGGAGAATCGCTTGAACCCAGGAGGCGGAGGTTGCAGTGAGCTGAGATTGCGCCATTGCACTCCAGCCTGGGCAGCAGAGACAGACTCAGTCTTGGAAAAAAAAAAAAAAGAGCATGCTTCTATCCTTCACAGTACATGCAGAAAGCAGGTGAGGAAACAGAGTGAGAAGCCCTATGCCAAGCTAAGCACTGCCTGCCATGGGGATGTGTGGCCCCTGATATCACTCTGCAGAAAGAATAAAGGCAATGGAATAGGAAAAAGTTAGAGAAAGCTTCTAGAGCAGATATATTGCAAAAAAAAAAAAAATGAGTAGGAGCTGGTGAAGAAATTGGGTGACTAAATTCCAGGCATAAACAAAGATAGTATGTGGGGTATACATTGTACTTTCCCAAAGCTACAGAATGGCTAGAGAAGAGGTTCCGAGTTTCAGAGAGGAGAGGAAATTGGTTAAAACTGAACAGAGAAAGGTAGGCTAGAGCAGATTGCATTTGATGTTGTATATCATGTTAAGCAGTTTTAATTTCACCCCATGAAAACTGAACGCCACTGAAGATTTTCAACAAGGTGGGACATGATCAGATTTTTAATTTGGGAAGATGATGCCTGGTGATAGACAGCCTCAGCCTGGAGAAGAGTTGGAGGGAAGACAGAATGGAGATGTGGATACCAGCTATGAGGCTGCTTGAGTAATACAGGGGAAGATGATGGGGGTCAGAGCATAGCTCAGACAGTGGCAGTGGAGCAAGAGTGATATATTTATAGCTATTGAAAAGGTAAACTGGTGACTTGGCAGCTAACTGGATTGGGAGAGTGAGGTGGTAGGAACCCATCTCAGAAGACTCCCAAGTCTCTGGCAGGGCCAAGTCTTTCAAAGTTGGCACTATTCTTGGAGACTGGCATAGAGGGAGAGGAATAAGGTGGTGAGTAAAGTGATTGATTTAACTGTAGAAATGTTAGAAAAAAAAAAAAAACAGCTTCCAGTGGGAAATTCAAGTGAAGCTGACTAGTGAATTGTCTAGTGACTAGATAATTTTTAGTTGAAAAGTCAAAGACTTAAAAACTTCTAAATTTAAATGGATACAGGAATAGATTATACTATTAAATTACTAATTAACTTAATTAGAAATATCCATGTGATTAAGAACATTTTTAATTTTTATTTTTAAAAAATCTTTATAGAGAGACTGGGTCTCCCGATGCTGCCCAGGCTGTTTTCAAACAGCCTTCTGTTTGAAAACATTGCTCCTGGCCTCAAGCAATCTTCCTGCCTTGGCCTACCAAAGTGCCAGGATTACAGGAGGACCATTTTTTGTTACATCCTGATTATTTAACAATATTAAAAAAAAATGAGAGAAGGTCAAGTGGAGTGGCTCATGTCTGTCATTCCAGCTCTTTGGGAGGCCATGGTTGGAGGATTGCTTAAGCCCAGGAGTTTGAGACCAGCCGGGGGAACATCAAGAGTTCCTACCTCTACAAAAAATTAAAAAACTAGCTGGGTGTGGTGGCATGTGCCTGTAGTACCAGCTACTTGGGAAACTGAAGTCGGAGGATTGTTGAGCCTGAATGGTTGAGGCTGCAGTGAGCTATGATTGTGCCACTGCACTTCAGCCTGGGACACAGAGCAAGACCCTATCCCAAAAGAGGGAGGGGGGGGAGAGAGAGAGAGAGAGAGAAAAGTTGGAGGAATTTAACATTAAATAATATATAAAGTTGTGTCATAAACATGTGCTTAATTCATGGGATTAGAAATGCAGGGTAATTTCCTGGCTCTCAGCTCATTCAAGTATTTACCAACTGGTTAGGCTCCCTGTAGGGTGTCATTTTTGTCTTCTTATTGTTTGCCAAATCCAATTGCTATTCTGCCAATGAAACATACATTTTCTTTTATAAATTATACAGAAAACCAAGTTTACATTAAAATTTTAAGAAAAAGATGACATAAACTTAACCACACCATTCATGATCTCTCTTGCAACAAATATTTACCAAGTATGGAAATGTGACATACCAGTAGAGAATCCAGGTTCTAACTTAGAGGCTGCTGGGGATCAAACTCTAGCTCCAAACATAAGATCTCTGTGACTTTGAACAACTTACTTAAATTATTATTATTATTATTATTATTATTATTATTATTATTATTATTATTTTGAGATGGAGTTTCGCTCTTGTTGCCCCGGCTGGAGTGCAATGGCACAATTTCAGCTCACTGCAACCTCTGCCTCCCGTAATCAAACAATTCTCCTGCCTCAGCCTCCCAAGTAGCTGGGATTACAGGCATGTGCCACGAAGCCCAGCTAATTTTTGTATTTTTAGTAGAGACGGGGTTTCGCCATGTTGGCCAGGCTGGTCTCAAACTCAGTTGATCTGCCCTCCTTGGCCTCCCAAAGTGTTGGGATTACAGGTGTGAGCCACCACGCCCAGCCTTAAATTATTCCTTATTCAGTTAACCCATCTGTAAGATGAAATTAGTAACACCTATCATGAAGGGTAAATGTGTTCGTTGGTAAATGTGTGTGAAGTCGTTAGGACGGTATCTAGCACATAGTAATCACTAAATAAATATCATTACCATTATTACTGACATTATACTAAATCTTGTTTTAGGAGATTTGAAGATAAAGACTAATGAGACATTATCGAACTAGTTAGTATTATTGTTATTATTATTATTATTTTGAGACAGAATCTTGCCCTGCAGCTGAGGCTGGAGTACAATGGCAAGATTTCAGCTCACTGCAAACTCCGCCTCCCAGGTTCAAGCCATTCTCCTGCCTCAGCTTCCAGAGTAGCTGGGATTACACGCATGTGCCACCACGCCCAGCTAAGTTTTTTTTTTTTTTGTATCTTTAGTAGAGACAAGGTTTCACCATGCTGGCCAGGCTGGTCTCAAACTCCTGACCTCGTGATCTGCCCACCTTGGCTTCCCAAAGTGCTGGGATTACACGCATGAGCCACTGCGCCCAGCTGGCTGTTTTATTTTTTTAATAAAACACACTGGCCAGATGTGTTCAGCGCTAAAAATCTCATATGTCCCTTTTCTTGTAAATTTTTAAAAACAAATTAATGATATTTTTGATATTTAGAGTTTAAAACATAAGGGATGCTTTTTGTTTGTTTGTTTTATGGAAAACCATGATACTCTAATTTAGTAGAATCTTGAAAAGTGAGAAACTTCATCCTGAGTTTGGTAGATATCAAAATGTTTTTTCTTTTCATAAAATTTAAAAATAATTCCCTGGAACTATGTATTTGTCAGTTAAAATATTTTATAGTCTGTTTTACCTTGCATCATCGGTTTTTTAAATCTAAAGTATTCAGAACACTTTTAGCCAAATGTTGTAAATAACGCACTGTATGAAAAGATTTTTCCTTTTTTTTCCACATGTATTGTGTCTCCTGAGAGTGTTTCCTAGGAAAGCAGTCGACGGGAAATCCAATTTTCTTTCATTTAGTTTTAAACTCTGTGCTTCCCAAGCTGGCTCCAGGCACATCCATGCTGTAAAGCAGGGTCAAGGGAAGCTGCAGAGACCACACTGGAGCTGGTTAGAGGGAAAGGTTGTTTACCTTAGGATTTCTTGTCTTAATGAGAAGAAAACTGTATGTTTTCTTTCCAAAATAAACAATATTCTACCCTCGAACCAGTTGGAATATGCACAATTGGATACACACTGAAATAATAAGAGCTGTCAGTAAACATCAGTGTTCAAAAACATGAGATTTACTTGCGGAAGCTTCTCTATAAAACAGTTTCTCCATGTTTGGTCTTGGGAACCTTAGGGTTTCTGTATCTCCTTTTAGGGAGTCCTAAAAGCTCAAAACTATGTCCACTAATAGTGCTAAGATGTGATTTGCCTTTTTCATTCATCAGTGTACAGTGAGTTTTCCAGAGGCTACAATATTATATTGCAATGTAGAAACTGACGTCAAAAAATATAAAATAATGCCTTCTTCCCTCACTATGCTTTTATTTTAAAAATGTTATTTTTCATAATCATTTTTATGTCAACATGTATGGGATTATTCATATTACTTTTAAATTAATTAAATCTTTTTATATCCTCTCAGTTTTAATTTCTAATATGGTAAATACAATAGGTATAACTTAAATAAATTAAAGTTATTGGGTAGTCAATAATTCTAAGAATATGTAAATCAAAATAAAAGCCATCTGAGACTGAAATGTTTGCGATCTGCTGTATGTTATGCCTAAGTAATAAGAATAGCTAACATCTACTGTTAGCAGTAAGCCAGGCACTGACCTAAGTGCTTTTTAATAAATTAATTGATGTAATTCTCATATGAAATCTATGTAAACATTTTATTATCATCATTTCTGTTTTACACATGAAGAAAATGAGCCATGAAATGATTCTAGTGAGGGTTCCCCTGTCACACAGCTAGTAAAACACTGGCCCCTGGGGTTTGCTCTTGAACTCTGCCTCTCAGAGAGAAAACAGTGATGGTCAGCTCCCAGCAAAATGCAATTTGTGGTATTCCATGATCAAATCGTTTGAAATACGTTTTATAAATGATTACTTAAGACATCATATGTTTAACCTATGAAGTATTGTGTTTCTTCCTGTAAGAATATGCATTCTCTATCCTATTTCAGAAAATGTACTTAGTTCAGTTCAAACATATTTAACTGGTTGCTAGATGGGTCTTACATTGTGTTGTTGAAACTAAAGATTAATAAGCTAAATCCTTTCCTCAAGAAGTTCATATTTAGCAAGGGAATAGAAGAGAATACAGATAGTTTTCCATAATTGAGTTCGGTAAGTGTTATATTACAGGAAGCATGGGAATACAGTGTTTCATGGAGGTTATATTTCTGGTCTTTGAAGTCAGAGAAGATTCTATAAAAATTCTCATTTCAAAATTTACTCATGTGTCTTTTGGCAAGTTTGTTTTTCGTTCTCAGTTTCCTCATCTGTAAAGCTTGGTTATTGTGAGTCTTAAATGAGATACTATAGATAAATCACAGAGCACAGTATCTGCACATCATGACATGCTCAGTAAAGCCTGATCATTATTGATGTATAGACAATGCGCTCTTAGAGGGCAGAAGCCATTGCTGATTTATTAAAACGTTGGGGGTGATGCATATACCAAATATACATTTATAATTTGTGATTAAATAAAATTGTTGGCTGGACAGAGCCCCTGGAGCTGTACTTTGTTAATAAGTTGACTGAAAATAAAGCATTGAGATTTTAAAAAGTGAACATGTAGATCAGATTTTAAAAGGAATTTTATTCAAGAGAAAAAGCAAATGGACAAAAAAAAATCTTACCATTCATAAAAAGGTTTCTCCCTCAGAAAAAAAAAAGGGGGGGAAGTTTCCATTCCCAACAATCACTTCCATTTTCATTTTTTCCTCCTGAACTATAGCAATGAGCATCTAAAAGCGAAGTCTACTACAGACTTCTAAACTGCCCCATTAGCTATTAAATGGAAGAAAATGTGACTGGGAAACTACCTTTAACCAGAACAATCAACAGGTACTAAAAGCCTACGGATTCATTAGGAAATGTCCATTAATACTGGTTTTTTTTTTTTCCTCCTTTGGCTTCGAATCGAATGTTAGTAATAAATCCGAATTCATAACACATTTGTCATCACTATTCATGCAAAGCCATTCTCCTGAGTAAAAGGACCCTTTGTGTGTACCATTGACAACTATGCATGGACAGATTTCAACTAGGTTAGATTCTTGAACAGGGCAGTCAGGATAAAACTAGTGGCATAACACCAAGCAGGGTGGACAGAGTGAGAGGGACGGAGGCCAGGAAAGCAGCTCCAAGGCTTTTGTTCTGATCAGTTGTTTAGATTATGAGCTAGTATATAAAATCTCATTGTTAAAATGGAAAGGAAAGAAGCAAATCAAATGGAATCTGCAAAGGAAGGACTCACAATACTTGGTGCTCTGGACTTAGGTGATAAAAGAGCAGAGTCTTTGCTGAGTGCAGTGGCTCCTGCCTGTAATCCCAGCACTTTGGCAGGTTGAGGCTGGAGAATCACTTGAGAACAGGAGGTTGAGGCTGCAGTGAGCTATGATCATGCCACTGCAGTCCAGCCTAGGCAACTTAGAAAGACTATGTCTCTACACTTTTTTTTTTTTTTTTTTTTTGAGACAGAGTCTCGCTCTGTAGCCCAGACTGGAGTGCAGTGGCGTGATCTGTGCTCACTGCAAGCTCCGCCTCCCGGGTTCACGCCATTCTCCTGTCTCAGCCTCCCGAGTAGCTGGGACTACAGGCGCCCGCCACCAAGCCCGGCTAATTTTTTTTGTATTTTTAGTAGAGACGGGGTTTCACCGTGTTAGCCAAGATGGTCTCGATTTCCTGACCTCATGATTCACCCACCTCGGCCTCCCAAAGTGCTGGGATTACAGGCGTGAGCCACCGCACCCAGCACCCCCCTTATTTTTTTAATTAAAAAAAAAAAAGGATCACAGACACAGGTAACTCAACATTTCTAGACATCACCAGTATAATGAGGAAGCATCAGTTTCTGGGTGTGAAGGGTTGGTGGGAAGGGAATGAACTCTATTGATCAGAAGTTTGAGTTCAAAGCAATACCAACAAGTTAAATGCTGTGTATTAAGTTTTAAATAAAAAAGTTGAGTGGAAAGTAAGAATTAGAGACTTAAAGGGAGTCTCCTGTAGCAAAGAAAAAAAGATTGAAGTCAGTTGAATGAGTGACTGCCCCGACGTGAATGAGTGGATTAGAAAGATGAGAGTGGACTGCTATCACATGACCACTTTCTGTACATCAGATTGTGTCAGCTTTTCACCCAATTGCAAGACACTCATGTGCTGCAAAGCGGTGTGCTAGAATCCAGTCTGAAACCGTTTGAACTGTCATATAATCGGGGAAAAGAGTGTACAGGTTTATTAAACATTTAGAAATAAATGATACCCAGGAAATTATCATGCATTTGGAATGAACCTAGACATTCATATCTTTACAATCTACCTGCATTCCATCAACTTCACTGGAATTACATCATGTTTGGGCATTATAAAAGTGGCCACATCCTCTTACAAAAATAAGTAGCACATTCTCTTATTTGGATAGGGATAAGAATGGCAGCTTCTGACAGCGGGAGCTGTAAATAATGGGCTTCACTATTTATTTGTTGAAATTTTCTAAGAATAAAGAGTGACAAGTAGGCCTGTAACACACTTAGCTTCAACAGTGAAACACCTAGAACTCACCTTATGTGGCCGATGTTTAATGATGCTATGTATTTATGATACATTTTAACCTTGGTTATTTTTAACTGTGAAGTACCTAGATCATATTATGTGTAAGAAATATTGACTGGGAATCAAATTTATGGAGAGAAATATCACCCTTTGGGTTGAAAAATTGACCACTACTAGAATATAATTTCTGAAAATGCAGCCTGAAGGCAATTCACTAGAGGGTAATCTTTCAGTGCAAGTAGGCAAGTTTTCACAGGATTCTGACAGTCTCACTCTCTTTCTGTCTCTCTTTTTAAAATAACCTCTAAGCACATTTTTTGTTTAAAATATGCTTTAACTTCATTACTTCTCGAGACATCTTCTTTAATTCACATAGTCATATGACCTCTATCATTGAGAGAAAACTGTTAGGCACAACTTTTAAATGAGGAATTTTCAAAACGATGTAAATGATCTGAAATCTACTTTCTATCAATAATGAGAGAAACTATGCACTATTTAGTGCACAGCTTAATGGGCTTCCTAATCTCTCAGTTTCTAGTTTTTCTCTTTTCTGAAGGCTCCAAACACTGCTGTCAACTTTTCCTTTCTGAAGCATGACATTGGCCATGTCATCTAGCTCAAAAACCTGCAGTGGCTTCCTACGGTTTTTTGAATAAAGCAGAAAATTCTTAGACTGGCACTGAAGGACTCTCTAATCTGATCCCAAAATGTATTTCCTAATTATTTCCCTTGCACCACACACTAGTTCCCCCTCCATGCACATGCTCATTGTAATGATTTTAATATTGGATTTTATAATATCGTAGCCAAAGGTGAAATTTGACATAGACGTCTCTCAGGAGCAGTTTTTAATATTAAGTAGCATGCAAAGTTTTCAATGTTTCAGACGTTCTTTTAGATCAACTTAAAGTTCACATGCTTTTATAGAGAAAGAGAGTAGCAGGGAGAGAGAGTAAGTGAAAGGGAGGAATCTGTACTTTTCTTTACTTGCAAAGTAATTACACTGTAAATCCAATCAAATGAAAGGCTTCCATGGGGTGTATCTTCCACACAGACTTCACTCCACAATTGTACTTTTCTTTTTTCCTTTGGGCTACTTTGGCATCGTAACTTACATTGGGATATTAAAAATTTATGTTTTCTAAATTAATGATATCTCTTTTTTGTATTGAATTAGTAAGTATATTATATTAATATTAAAAGTCTGTATCTTATGAGGTGATGTAGATGATGTAACAATCAATATCTCAAAGAAAATTAAACCAAAACCAAACAAGAACTGTCTCAGCATGATACCAACCAGGATTCCATGTTGCATTCAAATGTGAGGTCGTATATTTTAGTCTCATGGAAATTAATCTGATAGCTTTTACATTTGTGTGCTTCTGTGTGTTCAGAATTAAACCTGTTGGAAACTTTTATGTGTTTTGATACTTTGATCAACTTGTTAATATTAAGATTTCTTTTGTTATCCAATAGTATTTTATTTGTCCCTTTTTTGTGTGTGAGACAGAGTCTCACTCTACTGCCCACCATGGCAGGATCATGACTCATTGCAGCCTCGACCTCCTGGCCTCAAGTGATCCTCCCACCTCAGCTTCTCAAGGAGGTGGGACCACAGGTGCACACCACCACACCAGGCTATTTTTTTTTTTTATTTTGTAGACATGGGGGCCTCACTGTGATGCCCAGGCTGGTCACAAACTTCTGGGATCAAGCGATCCTCCTACCTCAGCTTCCCAAGTAGGTGGGACCACAGATGTGTGCCACCATATGCAGCTATTTTTTTTTTTTCTTTGTAGAGGTGGAGTCTCTACAAAATAATACCCAGGCTGGTCTCAGTCTTCTGGACTCAAATGATCCACATGCCTTGGCCTCCAAAGTGCTAGGATTACAGGTATGAGCCACCATGTCTGGTCTATTTATTCCATCTTAACCTTTCAAATTATGTGATGATATATTCCCAGAGTTGTCCTTAATACAGGTAGTATTACATTTACTATTGGGTTAAAGAGGCCAGCTCATTAACTTCTTAGTCTTCAGTTTTCTCATCTGTAAAATGCTAGTAATAATATTATCCCACCCAGTGATATTGTGAGGAATAAATGCTACATGGTTTCTACTATTATTATTTTACATTTATCTGGTAAGACATTTGCTCCAAAGGACCTTAATTTCATTCTATACTATTATTATTTTACATTTATCTGGTAAGACATTTGCTCCGAAGGACCTTAATTTCATTCTATCTATACTGCAATTTTTTTCTCGTAATTTTGGTTCTCAAAAATAATCATTCAAAGTAGTTATTAAGCAATATGACTTCAAATTTCATAATTTCTGAATAATTCTCTAATTGAAAAAGAAAATACTCAAAATATGTCTGTGTCTATTTATATTTAAAAACTAAGAAAGTTGTATTGTGATTATTTTATAAGCCTTCCCATCACTTAGAGATCATTGTTTCAAATATGGTTTCTATGATGTTCTCTGGTTCTGAAACTCAACACTGATAGAGTGTACATGTATCTACATATGTATAAATACATCCAACACCTATGTGTATGTTTATTTAAGTATTAAAATTTAACTGTAATATTCAACTTCTTGTACCTCTTTTAGAAAACCTCTTCCCTCCCACTGGCTTAGGTCTTCCTCCTACATAAACTCAGAATAATGAAGCTTGTCATGGATTGAAGCAAATCTCTCTTGTGTTGTCTGCTAGGCGCCAAGGTTCCTAAGGTCAGGTTTGAGCCTTTGGTCTCTGGGCCCCACTACAGGAACCAAGCACGTGCCTTTATCACTGCTCACTGCTCATGACTGAATAAATTGCCATAAATATTGGCGGCCCTGCATTATTTAATAAATATTTATATATGCGATGAATATAGACAATTATAGCATGTATACATGCAAGGCCAACATTTGTGTATGAAATGTGCATTTCATTCTGATTTATTCTGCATCTACAGACAGATCTCATTTGAATCTATAGACTGCTCTCCATCCCATACCCTAAGAGGAATCTGTCTCCTAAATCAATCTGTTGCTTCTCAGGCTAAAAACATACCTAGATCATTCTTCTAGTAACCAGATATATTTCTCCCCTTCTCCTCTACACATAACCAAATTTATCTCCTTACTCTCCCAGGTGGCTAATCCATTTTATTTGCCTTCTCACTATTCATTAATTGCTCAATGCATTGCTACCTGGCTTCTTCCAAATACTCCTTTGAAACTGTTTTGCATTCCTAATCTAGAAATCCAGTACACATTCTTTAGTCTGTATCTTTCTTAGTCTCTTTCTCAATTTAGTCCTTCTCTTGCCTTTGGTTTACTCCTTTATAAGGCTTCTTAATGCTATGTAGCTAAGAAGCTAGATAGAATTATTTTTCTCTGACTGTTTAATAAATGTCCCACCACTTTCTTTTATATAACCTTGGGTAATTTACTTACCTATCTGAGCCTAAGTTTCTTATTTGTATAACAGGGATAATAACAGCATGTACTTCAATGAGATTATATGTGTACAGAATGTAGTGTGTGCTTGGAATATAGTAAGCATTCAAAGAATCAAGGCATGTTGTCAGAAATGGTAAAGTGTGTGTGGGTGAATGTTGAAATGAACATGTTTCTGTCCTATCATTGCTCTGGATGCCATATTGGCAGGGAGGAAGAGATACCGTGAGGTAGGGACCAAGCCTTTATCAATAGAATGTGGTGAATAAGTAGCATTATATTACAGAATTCCACTTTTTATGAAATCGCTTTCCATAGTATGGTTTTTACATGATAATAGGTTCTTTTTCTTCCTTCATGTCACCCTAAAAAAGGAGGAAATTGATGAGGAAACATTTTGAGCAATTCTTTGCAAAAAGAACCTTAATGTATACAGTGAGGCAAAAGGTAGTTTATATTTAATATTGATTGCTGGACTTGGGTAGTTTGCAAAATATTTTGATTAGGCCTCGTCTTCCAAAATCGACTTCAATTCTCAATTTATTCATGAATTCATTCCACAAATGTTTACTGAACACCTACTGCATGTTTGGCACTGTACTAAATGTTGAAATGCAATGGTAAACAAACAAGTCTCCTCTCAGAGAGCTTAACATCTGTAAATACTCTGCAGTTCATCTGTAGCTTGCCATACAAACTGACAAGAAACTGCTTGAAAACCGTCTATGCTACAACTCTTATTTTCCTATACTATGTAGTTTTCAAAAATAGCACTGTTGCTTAACATACGCAGATACATCCAAGTAATACCATTAAGGTATGCATTAGAAGAAACATTGACAATTTTTTTTCTTATTTTCTTTTTTCTTATTTTTTCTTATCAAATCTTTTTCTCATTTATTAAAAAAGAAAAATATATATTCTTATTTTTCTCACATTTATTTTAAACAATATATTTAGAAATCATCATCTGACATAAAAATACCTTTAATTTTCTCATGCTGGTAAAGTTACTATAATATTTATCTACATTATCTTTTGTCTAATAAAAGCCTCTTCTGGACTGGACATGGAAAACACTGACTTTAAGTATAAATTCTGCCAGTAAATGAGCTCACATCAGTTAAATTGCCAATCAGGCTTGGCAGAAGTCAGAATGTATGAGTTCAATATACAAAATGTATATGTACAACCAGTAAAAACAGTCTTGTATAATTTGTAATTATATTATTCCTGAGTGCTGCGGTGCAAGAATGAGAAGTGGTTTATATGATTGTGTAGCTGGTCTTTCTAAGACGCATGTTCACAATCTATTTTCTCTGTTCCAATGATGTGTAACTATAATCTATAAAGCATATGTATATTTAAAATAAGGTTCCAAATATTACGATAAAAATAAGAAACAGGCTGTTATTTCACTCAATATTGCATTGTTTATAAGGTTGGTGGATTGGAGAAGGGACTTTTAAAGGCATTCATAATTTCTATGTATTTTTCTTAGTTCTAGCCCAATATGTGTTGAATACAACAGAAAGCATTTTCCAAGGCTGAAGCTTATGCTTTTCAAACATACATCTCTCAAATCTGCTTAAGATGTTACTATGCAACCCAGTTTTATTTTTTTCATTCATTTGCATTTTTAGATGTGTTTCTCTCCTGGCCAGGTTATTAGAGTTGGCGGCTGCATGGTACAGATAGTGAGGCCCGCCGTATGTAGGTGTCTTCATGGAAATCACCTGGGGCCGAGAGTTCCGCTTTTCTCACCTTATCATATCTGGAACACAGATTTGCTCTGCTCGTCATATTTTGGCATCTGTGAATCACCGTCATGTTGTCATATTCGCAGTTACAAAGTAGCCGGTGGGAAAGGAGCCAACTACTTGAGGCACTTGCAATGGAAAAAAAAAAAAAGTCTGATTTCAGCATTATTCATTGGAAATGCTATTTGTGAAAGCATTTACTTCAGTTTCTGAGATGCTGGCAATAACTTTAATAGGCAGTGCATAAGTCTGCATTTTTAGAAGAAATGTTCCTATGTGCTGAACAGTGAAGAACCAGTAGTTATTAAAAACCATGGGTAAAATGGTAAGCATAGGAATTCAGGAGTAATTAGCCATCATTTACTTATATTTTATCAATATTACCTTCTAATTAATTGCATGATGAGCCAGTCATGTCAATATAGATGATTTATGGTAATTCTCTCAACCAATATATCTCTTATAATTTTACCTCTACTCTTCATGAACATATAAAGGTGGGCAAAACCAAACTAAATTTTAAAATTATATTGAGTAACAACAAAGGAAATCAGGGTATGTCCTGAGAAATTAGAACGAATAAATTTGTAAAAATGTGATGCTTCCAAAACAGTTAAATGTAAGTAAAATTCATCATAAATATAAGCAAAATTATACTAAAATATTTTTAAAATATTATAATTATATTGTTCTGTTTTAGCTCTACCTAATTAGTAAAGGCATCTCAGAAAGTGTTAAGTTCCCATCTTTCTGCACATATCTCTTCATATGTTGTTTGGGTTAAAGGAGTGGCCCCTTCTTATAACCTTCATAGAGATATGGCAAACCCCTCCACCCTACCCACACACAAGAAAAATCAAAAACACTGAGCTTTATTTTTTACTTTACTGTACAATGTCTAACTACATTTAGGTTGTGCCAACTCAACTCAAACCTTGTACTGAATTTATGAATCTTTTCAAAAATGTTCCCTAGTAATTTTATACAAGGTTTGCTGTTGCCTCTGAAGGATTTGTGGTGACAAGATGGCAGTTCTAAGGCAAATACAAGGAAAGCCATTCATTTGCAAAGAAGTGTGAAGATAGTTCCTGAAGTCAGCATTCATCAAAAATGTTGTTTCATGAAATACTATCGCTGGAAAAAAACTAGTCGGAAAAAAGAAACCTCGAAGGGCTGTAGTTCAATAATCTTGGGAATTCTGCACATTCAGGTTTCTCTAAGTGATTCATAATGAACATTAGTATTTAAAAGTACTGGTGAAATCTTTTAATAAAAACTTTTATAAAAATACAAAATATTTTCCAAATATATTTAACCACAGACTTTTTTTTATTCCAACAACTAATAGCACCTCAGGGATTATCTTTTGGTTGGGAAATCTACCTTAAATGAAGAAACTCATGATGGTTTAGAAAGACCCAACTGTCTTTCAAAGCAAAGGAATGATGAGCTAGATCCTTATCCTAAAACAAACAGGTGGTCACTTTTTTCCTAATCATGTTATGAAAAAAAATCATATTAATAATATATATTTTCATAATTCAAAGTCCCTACCTGTCCTACTAATAGGAATGTCAGTCTTTTCTAGGGGTTGTACATTCAGACTTTCACAAGGGAGTCATCTAAATTTTGGGTTTTCAGAGAAGTGTTATCAGACAAGCATCAGTGATTTACGGGAATATGTAAATTGTTTTGCAGAAATACACCTATATTAAATAGGATGATATCTTGAAATATGACAAAGAATAATGCCCCTAATATAAAAAGAGTTCCTATAAATACATGTGAAATGAACTGATATGGTTTGGCTGTGTCCCCACCCAAATCTCATCTTGAATTGTAGTTCCCATAATCCCCACAGATTATGGGAGACACCAGGTGGAGATGATTGAATCATGGGGGCAGTTTCCCCCATGCTGTTCTTGTGATAGTGAGTTTGTTCTCAGGAGATGTGGTGGTTTTATAAGGAGCTTTCCCCTTCACTGGGCAATCATTCTTTTCCTTCCTGCCACCATGTGAAGAAGGACTTGTTTGCTTCCCCTTCTGGCATGATTGCAAATTTCCTGAGGCCTCCCCAGCCCTGTAGAACTGTGAGTCAATTAAACCTCTTTTCTTTCTAAATTACTCAGTCTCAGGCAGTTCTTTATAGTGGCATTTGAACACACTAATACATGGACCAATATTCTCACAAAAAAAAATAAGGAAAGAATACGAATAGATGTTTTATAGAATAGTAAGTACAAAGAGCCTATGTCTATTTTGTCTTCACTAGTGAACATAAATTACAATTTAGAGCAACAATGAGAAAACTTTTTTTAAACCCATCAGATTGCCAAAATTAAAGATCATTTAAATCTAGAGCTGGTGAATATTTAGAGAAATTGTTATTATTAATTCATAAGTGGGCTTATGTATTATTGTAAGTTACTAAAAGTTTAATCTATCAGTGTCTACTAAAATTATTAATTGAAATTATAAATCTATATATCCCCTGACCCAGCACAGTTAATTCTGCAGGAATTATATATATATATAAATTCATTAGCTCTTCTGTGGCTGAATTCTTCAGCTTCTGTCTTCTCTCACCTCCCTGCCCTCTCCAATTCCTCCTGTATGAATCTGCTGGCTTGTCTCTGCTTCATTGTCTCAAGTGTCACTGCTAAAATAGCCATGATGTAACTGAAGATCTGATCAGTCACTCCTTATGGTGGTCTTGGAAGTCTAAAGTTGCTGCCATTGTTACTGGCTAAAGTGCAATTGCCACCAAAGCACCTAGTCACAGTGCCTCTAAAGCTTTCTATTGCCAGGCCCTTGTGCTGTGATTTCATTTCCATCACAATGCTTTTGGGGTTGGGAGCTTGGCAGGGCTCTCTCTGCCCCTTTCCTGACTTGGTTTTTTAATAAGCCAGGAAAGCACTGCCATATGTGGCTGAATCTTGGGTGCTATAGCATTTTGGAAATACAGCTTCTCCAGTTCATGTCCATGGCAACCCCTCTCCAAATGTTTGCAGGATCAGCATGGCTGGCAAGAAAGTTTTCAGTGTCAGAAACAGGCTAGGTCCAGAGTGGCACTCCTCTGTGATGCATTGCCCTCAGAGCAGAGACCAGTCTGCTGGTCTGGAGTCCTTCCACCTGCATGATAAGTTTCCTTGCATGAACACTTTGTCTTTTTTTGCAATCTGGCCTTGATCTTTGGCAGTGCAGATATTGGTAAAGCATTACAATTCAATGGTAAGGAGGAGGCAGGTGGGAGCTTCAGGTCCATGCCCCTTTGCTCCCTGGAGGTACTTCTACCTCTTGTGCAAATCCATGGGCGGAAGTTCTCATCCATCCTCACCTGCAGCCAGCCCCTTGTGTACTAAATTCAAATGAAGCTAATCATATTAAGGAAGAGCTTATAAGCAACTAACTCTTAGCCATTGTCAGACCCTTGTCCAAGCAAATGTCCTGCAAAAATGATTTATGGTTACAGCAATGTTCATGTGGAGACTGTCTCGCGGCTTCTTTAGAAGAGTTCTCTTTTGATACAGATCTTGAAGTGATTGTTTTTCTGTCCTGGTTTACCTAATCAAACTCATTCATGTGAGCCACACATGCTCACCCCCTCCTGCTGGCAACTTCTCCTCCAGGACTCCCACCCAGCCCACCGCACTCATCAGCTGGAATCCCTGCCTGATTGTCTCCTCTGCTGGAGCCTCTGTTCTCTTTCTAATTGTGAAGTCCCCTAGTGTGAACCCTCTACTCTTTTTTATCTTTCCATAGGTGAGATCATCCACATTCTGGTGCCAAATTCCATCTGTATTTTTACATTTAAATTTGTTTCTGCAGCCCAGTGATTCTCAATCCTGAGCAATTTCGCTCACTGCCTTGCCCTCACTCAGCCATTTCTGGAGACATTTTTGGTTTTCACAACTGGGTGGGGGAGACACTGTCATTAAGTAGGCAGAGGCAAGAGGTGCTGTGACATATCCTACAATGCAGACATGCACAGGACAGCCCCCAGAACAAATAAATATCTGGGCGAAAAAGTCTATAGTAATGAGGTTGAGAAACATATAGTCGCTCTGTTATGAACGCATGTTATGCCACATTGCCACTGAAATGGCGATGTGTGCCTCACACTTGAAAGGGCTAAAAGAGAAATCTTTATTTCCCTCCCTGAGTACGTTTTTTTCTCTTGGAATCCCATCGTGGGAGCATAGTCTATCTTACCTCCCAGAAACCTAGGAGTTGGCTCAATTCCTGTCTTTTTCACATTCTCACATCTACTCAATCAGCAAATTCTGTGAGCTCTACTTCCAAAATTCATTCTAGCATCATCTATTTCTCTTCATGTCCGTTGAAGCCACCACACCTGACCCCCATCATGCAGTAGCCTCTGAATTCTTTTCCCAGCGGCTGCCTGAGGCCCCTGCTTTCCATTCCCATAGCACCTGAAGAACTCTTTTTAAAACACGAATTGGACATCTATTTTCGTCCCTGTAGTAAGTAGTCTGCTCTCACACTGCTATAAAGAAATACCTGAAACCAGGTAATTTATAAAGTAAAAAGGTTTAGTTGTCTCATGGCTCTGCAGGCTGTATGGGAAGCATGGCTGGGGAGGCTTCAGGAAACTTACAGTCACGGGTGAAGACAGAAGACAGGCAGGAACTTGGTACACGGCCAAACAGGAGAAAGAGAGTGAAGGGAGAGGTGCTACACACTTTTAAACCAGCAGATCTCGTGAGAACTCACTCACTATCACGAGAAAGGCAAGGGGGAAGTCCGCCTCCATCATCCAATCACCTCCCACCAGGCCCCGCCTCCCAAACCCGGATTGCAAGAGTTGGGAGGGGCCAAAATCCAAGCCATATCACTCCCAAACCCCCACGTTATCCTTTTTCTCTTAGCAACTGACCCTCAAGTTCTAAATCTTGTCTCATATCCACCTTCCAGATCTTCTTCACAAACCTTCTCGCTCTGAGAGGCTTTCTCCTAGCAGTTTCCAAACTTTCTGCCTTCAGGCCCTCGCTGTTGTGCTTCCTTCTTCCCGGAGCGCTCTGCTGCTAGACCCTCCCAGGCTGCCTGCTGCTGCTCATCCACCCAGGTCGTATCTTCTGAGCGCACTTTCACGGCCATGCAAAATACAATGGATTCTGTCACTCACACACTATTATTATACCCTGTTTTAGTTTATTCAGAGAACTCAGTACGGCTTTGTTCATTTTGTGACTGTTTTCAAAACTCTAGACTAAAAGGTCCATGATGCCGTCTTTCCGTGCTTCACTTTGGTTGGTGCTCAGTAAATATTCATTAAATTAATGATGCTGGCCGGACGCTGTGGCTCACACCTGTAATCCCAGAACTTCGGGAGGCAGAGGCGGGTGGATCACGATGTCAGGAGTTCAAGACTAGCCTGGTCAACATGGTGAAACCCCGTCTCTACTAAAAAAAATAAAAAAAAATAGCTGGGTGTGGTCGTGGGTGCCTGTAATCCCAGCTACTCAGGAGGCTGAGGCAGGAGCATAACTTGAACCCGGGAGGCAGAGATTGCAGTGAGCCGAGATCGTGCCACTGCACTCCAGCCTGGGCAACACAGCAAGACTCCATCTCAAAAAAAAAAAAAAAAGAAAGAAACGGTGCTGTCCAGCAGTACACATAACTAGAAATGAGGCCTCAGCTGTTAGATAGCCTGAGACTGAGGCTTAGTCTAGAGGGAATAATTCTAGAAGTGAATTTAGAAATGACGAAACAGCAGTGTGGATCCACATGATGGGGCTTCTTTCTGGAAGTCTGCCTTTCTGCCAACATTCACATGCCTTCTTTGATCCCTCTCTTCTTGTAATCCACTCATAAAAACAATCCTGCAAGACACAACACTCTATTTATTTTTATTTATTTTCCAACTAGATTACAAATTGCTTAAGGGAGAAGATTCTTGTTTATTGTTGTATCTCTTGTGGCATAGCCCTGGACCTAAACATGCTAGGCTTTCCTATATAGCTAATATACTTCAAATTGGGTGCATGGAGTTTGTGATAGCTCTTTGCTACTCACATTTTTTCTTGCTCTCTGATTTTCTGATGAGTTCTAAATAATTGAGACCTTCTGGCATTTCATATTTAGAAAAATCTGAGCTTACATAATAAATGTTATTTGATAACTATTATAGCAAAAAGTAGAAAAATAGATTCATTCAAATCATTATAAAAGCTAGCCTATATTGAAGGCTAATTATGAGTCAAGCGGTATTCTAACACCTTTACAAAAACTGATTCATTTAATTATAACACAATAGCCCTGTAAGATGGTGCCTATTATTTTCCTCCTTTTGCACTTAAAGAATTAGTAGTAGAAAGAGATAAATGAGTTACTGAAGGTCACCCTGTAGTGAGGGGGTATTGAGATACCCTTTGAACGCAGATAGTATGACCCGTGAGTCAGTTCTCCTAAACTCCAGCTATTCACTTTTGATAAACACTATGCAATTGATTTCTTAAAATTCTTTAAACCTTTCAAGTAACAAAATCCTTTCTACCTAAATGCAACTTTTTAAAATTCCACAAGCTGACTTACTGCTGCATACTCTGTACAATTAAACATGTTTCAACCCTCTACTAACTTCAGTGATAAATAATATTTCTGCTTTATGTTATGCATGACAAATTCTTTTTCATCATCTCTAAAAATGCAAGACCTTAGAGGAATACACTAACATATCTTTTCACAGTAGAGTGGGGGAGGGTGAAAACCAGGAAAATAAGTTACTCCAATAATGCATTTTGGCATTGTAATGGTCCATTTCTAGCAAAGAGCAAAATAGACATTATATAACATGCTCTCATTTGATATAATCTTTTTAAGTTTAGTGATGATTACCATCTAAATAAATCAATATGAGCAAAATTTAAGAATAAAGATAACCAGAAAAGCTTTTAATTTTCCTTTCTATCAAAAGGAATATATTTGTTATTCCTAACTACAAAGAATCATGCTAATTTTCACAAAAGCCTTAAGATTCAACATACTCATCAGCAACAGATTCACATAACAACCCATGAAATGCACAAATAAAAATCTACATTAAAAGAGCATTAGAGGCCAGCCTGAAACAGAGAGAAATGAAAATATTCAGAGTCAATGTCTTGCTAGGTAGCCGATTCAACTTTAAGAGCCATCTGGTCCCTTTCATGCTCCATATCCACTGTCCTCTATCAATGTAGACATGGACATGGTTTTTGGTCCCCTAATTAAGTGGAATCAATGTGGAATGGTAGGGCAGTGCCACACAACCATTTCCATTTTGTTTTTTGACAAGATATTTCCCACCGATGATTAGGTTTCGAAAGGATCTTATATCAAGGCCAGCCAGTATATTCACTTTATAGATTTTTGCCTTATTTACTAAATCTTAACTTTCTAATATATATCTCAGATAATCAAAAGGAGAGATACCACCATTATTTTCCAGATAAAGAAACTGTGGTAGACAGGTATAATTTAAAAAGCTGTCCAGCCAGTTCTGTAGCAGGGATGGCGCTTCAAGTCAAGGAATTGAAGTAAAATCCTTTCCTTACCACATAGTAGCTGTAAAGCCTTAAGATAACACACATAGGATCTCTTAGTTTTAATGTCCTCAATTATAAAATGAGAGTAACATGTATAAAAGTGCTGAGCCCAGTCTACTGAGATTTTTGCTGAACTTGAAAAATCCAAAACTTAAAAAATCTGAAAACAAATTCATTATTTTCTCCTTCCCTAATTTTGCACCCCTTTTGTTTCTCTTATGATCTTTGTGTTAGTAAATGGTGCTTCAGTCACTTAAGCCCCAAATCAGAAAGATATTCTATAAACTTCTGTTCTCAGATGGTTAAAACTATCTATCAATTATGCTTTCCAAATAAGTTGGGAGCCTCTCTCTTTACATTCTCATGGCCATTGTGTCAGTTAAGACTTTCCCCATTTCAATTGTGGGTTAATGTAAAGGTCTCTTAACCAGCTTGCTTCATTCAGTGTAGCCATCCGCCACGTTGCTAACTTGATTATCCAAAACAGAAATATACCAGCCTGCCTTTTTAAAACGATCCACATTTCTTCTGTTTAAAAAGTTGGATCATCTTAAAGCAGCATACTGATCTAGGCCTTCCAGAATTATTTCCTGCCTCCTTCAAAGTCTTTCTCTAATTTGGGCAAAGTGAGCACCCTGGAAATATTCTAGGCTGTGAGGTTGCCCCATATCTTTGACCTTTGCCTATCCATTTGTCACTGTCTGATTGTCCGATTAAATACCACTCACTCTTTCCTTCAACCTCCAAATAACGAAAAATAAGTTACCTTGCACACCCAATAACTCCTATGTCTCACACACACACACACACACACACACACACATTCTCACAAAAGGAGATGAACTTACCCAGAAGTATTGACCATGTCAAGAAAGGTGGTACATTTCAAAAATCGAAATGCTCATGCTCTTTTTTTCTTTTCTTTCTTTTTTTTTTTTTTTTCTGAGACAGGGTCTCACTCTCTCACCCAGACTGGAGGGATACAATCATAGCTCTCTGTAACCTCAAACTCCTGAACTCAAGCAATTCTTCCATCTTAGCTTCCTGAGTAGCTGGGACTATAGGCATGTGCCACTACATCCAGCTGACTTAAGAAAAAAAAATATAGAGATGGGGGTCTCACTATGTTGCCCTGGCTGGTCTCAAACTCCTAGCCTAAAGTGATCCTCTCACCTTGGCCTCCCAAAACACTGGTATTACAGGCATGGGCCACCACAACTGGCCTCCCAGCTTTTTCTTCTTTATCTTTTTCTGTGGATAGTTCATTTGAAGATCAGTTTCTGAAGGGAAGGGTCTATTGCTTCTCCTCACACTAAAATAGTGTTCACGCCTCACCCTAAAATATTTTCAAAGAGGACTTTGCAAAGCTGTTAGAAGAGCTAAATGGCCACCTCTCTTCCACTGAACTTATGTCTATCACCAGTGCACTCAGGTAGAAGAGTTAAGGTCATTTGCCGCAGCCCTTGATTGGGAAGCTGATGGATAGGAATGTGCTTCTAACCAGAGAGAAGTTGGCAGCAAGACTGAGAAATGACAGCCCTGGCTTGCACAGAATGAAGCCCAGATATCACTTAATTGGTGTCCTTGATTTGGGCTATAGTCCAGCTATTTATAACCTGATGCATTAATTGCATACTGTTGTGATGTTACTTTGAGCTGTTTAGGGAAATGTTTTATCATAGTTGTTTACAACAGGGAAAAACACTAAAAATTGTTCACACTTTGACTGTTTGTATAACACGTCATGTGAGTAGCCATCAGCTTTTAAAGCTCATCAGCTGCTTGCATCTTGTCCCTTTAGGTCATGTTGGGCAGCCTTAAGATGAAATGGTAACTTTTCCCTCCACAGAGTGGTTGACCATATGCCCCCGGTTTGCCGAGCCCAGTGCTGGATCACATTAGTGTGCTAGCATCTTGTTCATTTACTTCCTTCTTTAATCTCAAAAGTCTTCCAGTGTGAGCAATAAATTTTATGTCCACTCTATCCAAAAGGGGATTAAGCAGAGTCAGAATTTGTCTCTGCAATGCTTGAAAATGGAAAACTGAGCAAAAGACAACTACAATATTGCAAAAGGGATCCAGCTTAGGATTCGAGGAAGATTATTTAATGAGAGGATGTTTGGGATTCAAAAGTTAGAGCAAGAATTAGATGAGGGAAGTGACTTTCTCAGCTCTCGCATTTGCTAAGGTCCCAAGGCTGAGAAAGGAAATAGGGATGCACATTTTAGCATAAAAGAAAGGCCAGTGTCTCTGCAGAATGATGAGTAAGGAGGGTGCTGGGGAAATTAGAACAGAGAAGTCAGCAGGGTTCTGAACAAGTCTTGGAGACCATGTCAAGGATTTTCAAATGAGCGATAAAAAGAAAATGTTGCAATAGTTAGGTAGGATTGAAAGTTGATTATACCTGCTTATTAAAAAAAAACACTCTTAACATCTGTGTGGATAAAGGATTAGGGTTGGGGTTAGGTGCATGAATAGCTAGAGAATTGTGAAGACTCTTAGCAAGCTAAAGTAATAGCCATTTTGAGAGATTGTGGAAATTCAGCTATCGTGGCAGTAGTGGGGGAAGAAAACTGTTTTTGTGTGCTGGTTCAGTAATAAACTGTTTATTTTCAAGAACTAACGGAACTAAAACTTGAGAAATTTATTTTGCCCTAAATGCTTCTGTTTATATCAAAGCAAAGAGACATCTTAAAATCATCTCTGTAGACGGATGAAAATTTGTATTAATTGTTTCATTTACTATTAGTCAGTTTTGCCTTTAATTGCTTGAGAAGGCACCATCAGGGAGGAAATGCAGTTCCAACGAGTGCAATATGAGAGACAGGGCACCAGGAGAGGAAGGTCTGCTCAGAAGGAGAGCCATTCCCAAGGAGCCAAGAGAATTACCAGACCGCCACTCCATCCACCTCTGAGCACCCGACCCCTTTCTAAATCTTGTTAGAGAGTCAGTCTAGGACTGGAGTGAGAAGCAATTTTGCTGTCCTGACAATTTAACACTCAAGTTAACTCAGATGACTTTGCAACATCATCTACCTCTGTTTACAAATTAGTATCTACACTTATCAATTTTGCAAGCATTGGGATTTTACTTGTTTTGAAGAGACAATAAAACAAAGTTAAAAACAATTCTCTGTAATTTGAGAAACTCAAACGTCAGCATTTGTGACGTACAGAGACAGCTGAAAAAAATGCATCTGCGTAGTCTTGCATATGCAAATAAAGCAGAGTTCCTAAGGAAATTATACTCGATACTTTTGGTTTTCACTTCTGAGAAAACCAATTCAGGTCCTACAGGAAAGTAAACAATCAAAAGAGTTTCTTCTGCTGCTGTTTCTCCTTCTAGTTACCCAGTATATCCCTCCTTTCCTCTGGTTGGGATTAAATGTTTTATTGATTCTGGCCAGCTTGTTTCAAGTATACATTGCATGAAACCTTGATTTTACCTTATTTTATCTCAGTGATATTTGTGAGGTATTGTAAATAAAAATCTCTTGGACGTTAATGCAGCACAGTGAAAAGTATATAAGGAACTCAAATAACTAATGTAATATTTGAAAAGAGTACATTTGATATTAATAACTTCTACCCAGTGGTATTTTATTTTTATCTAGTAGAAATGAAATTCTCTATGACACCTAACCTTTAAATTTTCTGGAATAGACCTTAATTCACATGCTTCTCATTATAGACGTTGAGTGGAATATGCTCCAATCTATACCCATGACCTGGATAATGTGCCCCGTAATTTCTGTTTTTGCTCTCAGACATGAAACTCATTAGCTTTTGTGGTTTCAGTGCACATGCAATGAACAGAAAAGCGTTTAATTATTACCACCAAGGAGGTGATTTTCTTTTCGGGTAAAAAAGAAACTAAATGAGGTCAGGAAAAGTTTTTTTAAAGTTGTGCTGTAATTGTGCTTAGTATAACAATGCATCATTCTTTATATCATTTACTGGATACCAATAAATGATATGTTTTATTTTAACAGGCAATTTGCTGCCAGAAGTGTGTTTTCCTTTTTAAAAGGTAAGTGCCTTTTTAAGAAATATTATATAAAATTATCATCATTTCTGATTTATAGCTTTGAAGAGCCTATTAATTTTAAAGCCCCATGGCTGACAGCTGTGTTGTTCAAAGGCGAGGATATATAGTATTAATTATCTTAAGCTCCAGATTATCGTTCATGGTGCTGACATTAAGTATAAAGGACAAACTGGCGCAGTTTTCTATTTTAGTAAGAATAATTAATTAACCTGGTGATTTTTAGAAGAAATACCTGTTGAAGTAAGATACAACTAACACAGTTCAGTTTGATCACATTTGTTTCAGTTCTGGATGGATGTAGATAATTTTCATGGAAATTGCCAGTAACTTAGAGTATGGCCACAGTTTGCTTTTGTTGTTGTTGTTGCTGTTGTTGTTGTTTTACTGGTTTTTCTTTCTTATTTGTTTGGTTAATTGGAGTCAGAGAATGGGCTTGTACATTTTGAAAGTTAAAAATGTTTGTGTCTGAAAGATATTACTTACCAATAAAGACTGTACAGTTTTGACTAGACTACATTTATATTTTCAAATTTTGCAATGTATTAGTTTCAACCATAAGTTAAATTTTAGAGCTGACTCAATCTAGTATTTAAATTTTCAAGAATTCTGTGATGTTTGAAAGCAAACTAAATGCTTAAGTAGAGAATACTTTGTGCTTTATTATGTACCCAAAAATGACTCCTTCGTTGTGTTATTTCTCGGCTTGCCTTTCCCTAAGCATTGATTCAGACAGTGAAAACATAGAGGGGTGATTAATTACTGTATTCCTGGTATAGTCTTTGTTTCTCTAACAAGTCATGGTGAATGTCTTCAGAAGACACCCTTCTACAGCATCCATGGCAAACATCAATCTCTATTACTGCTCTAGCTTGGAAGTTTCACTTGTTTATACCTCTTGGTTGAGTATCATCACTTTTTTACTTCTATACGTTTTGGATGCTGTAACGAGAGAAACTTCTTGCCTTTAGGGCATTTGAATTCAGCTTCTGCTTATAATAACGGAGGAGCTCTGTGTGTAATTATGTTGCCAAGATAAGTAAATTAATAAATTATAACTCTTTCCTCCACCTGATAATTGTTTATTTACGGGGTTGTATTTCTGCTATCAGGTAAAGTTGGTGTATTAGCTTGATGTATTAGCATCATGCTAACTATCACAGCTAGTTATGCAGTTAGCAAAGCAATATATTTTACAGGCACTTTGCATTTTGAAAATAGCACGTCTGTTACTTGTAAATTCCTGCTCTCTTACGGTAGGAGCCCGTAATTCTGTTAAGTAAGTTACCAAGAATTATGTTTAAAAGTACAATTCACAAATTCTGCCATGTCATGGAAGTTGGTAACTATGACAGAATTACAACGAAGTTCTTTTTTTATAAGTTAATCTTAAGCTATGTAAATATATGATGTACAGGTTATGAGAGCCATGGTTTAGACTACATTGCAGAAAAACAATCAAGAAAAGTAAAAAATTTAACCATTTCGAAAGTTTTTTTCCCCTTCCATACAAACTGGGTAGTAAAAAGAACGTAGACTTTAGGATCAGTTAGAACTCACTTGTAGACCTACCTCCAGCTCTTACTTGCTGTGTGATTTCAGGCAAGTTACTTCACCCCTCTGAGACATTTAAATTAGTTTTCAGACTGAATATAATAATACCTATTTTGCACAACTGCCATAAACATGCTGCAAGTGATTTGTTGGTTCCCTGCTTTCCCCTAAGAGTCAATCTCATCTTGTGTACACAGCCTTAGACAAATTCCTTAATGCTGTATCTGATAAAACTATAATTTTATGGTAAGCTTGTCTCTTTTTTTTTCTTCTATGTATATAAACTTTGCCTTGAATATACTAACCTGGTAGACTATTCACATCTACAAAACAGAACATAATATCTTGCTAAACTCTGTATAAAGATGCTGCCTTCTGTTGGTGTGAAAGTATACACCCATGAGATTGATTTACAGGCATTTTGTGAATGCAAACAACTCTCATTTTAGTAAACTCTTTATGAATCTTAAATACTTCTTTCCTTTTTTGTCTTCTCTTCAGTGCCCTTACTTAGGCTATTTCTTGTCCAGAGACCTAGTCCTCTTTACTACATACTAAAGCTTAGAACTGGGGCCCTGTTCTAGCTTCTTTTATTCCTCTATTTAGGAAAGCATCTCCTTACAATCCTTTCTCTCCAAACTCTGCTGGGTAATTGAATAGCTACATGACTGAAAATGTTTCAATAGCCTTTCAAGGTAGTATTTACATTTTAATGAGCTTTTGTAATGGTTTAACCTAAATACAAGGGAATATGATGAGCTCTTTGGTATGGGGAATAATTTGAGGCCCAAAGTTATTCCCAGGCAGCCCTGTAAACTTATAAAAGTAGGGTTGCTTCCTCTCCATGCTTGTTATAAAGCTTCTACGTGCATCCAAGGCTTCACGTAAATATTCTCTTTCTCTTTTTCCCCTTTCTCCCACTGCAGATAAAAAATTTCAAATGGACATAAATTGATATCTAGTTCTCCTCTGAAAATTGTGAACACATTATTTTAAATCTTCTCTGTACTATTCTCCAACCCCTTTGATTTTTTAGTTGCCTTCAAAATTTTAAGAATAATTTATATGTTTTGCTTATCACAAATTCTCATACACCTGAGCCAAACAGTTTTGTTAAGTTTGGGGGAAATCACGACTTTTGTGTTTCTGATCAGGAAACAGAGAAGGACGTGACTTGGCTAAACTCTGCAGAACATCGGTTAATACTGGGGTTTCTGACACCCAAAGCAGTTCAAATTGTCGACGTCATTCTATCACGTAAAAGCAATTCATGTGCTATTTTCCTTCTATGGATTTACTCATGCATATGCAAATATGAGACAAGAAAACCAGACAAAATGTACTGCATGTGGTAATGTGACTCAGCTCCTCAATAGCCCAGCCCTCCCCAGGCTCCTTGCCAAAATAAACTGAGTGTTGACAGGGAGCTTGATGTGTTTTAATAGCAAAAAGCCAAAAATGAAGATAGTTTACAAGTGATAAATGAGAGATTCATTTTTAAATGGAATTCTCTGCTTGAATAATGCAATGTATATGTGACATTAGTAAAGTTCTGGGAAAAATGATAGAAGACCTATATGTCACAATTTGCCAGGCATAGTTACCTAATCCTGGTGACTAAGAAAAAAGGACAATAGATTCCCCTGAGAACTTTTTAATTGACCCTTAAATGTCATTCCAAGTGCTTTAATAATAAAGAATTGAAAGTCTTTGACATTTGTTGATTTTTTATCTTGTAGTTTTCTCTTGATTTACTTTCTATTTTTACTGAAAAGTTACTGCTGGATTCTAGTGCTTTCAGAAAATACCTTTTTTATCTCATCATATCATCTATGTGAGCCTAAATTTCTTATGGTTTGCCTCACTCTTCTCAAGCCAAAACCTACTAATTATACCTACTAATCACAAAACAATTTCTTCCCCAATCAGACAAATGGATGTTTTTGTTTATTCTTTGCTTCTTGATTGTTTTGAACAGTAATCCTATATTAATTTTGATAAATCCACACACTGATGTTAAAATGATCATAAAAGTAGCATGTGATGAGTTTATCTGGGCTTATAGGTTAGAAGTTGGATAGGGGTGTCCATTGTGAGCATTGCAACTATATGAGAAGCATTCAAATCTAAAGTTAACACTTCTGAATAAATTTTATTTTTTAGCGTGCAGTTTTTCCTAGAAGACTGAAAAATCCAGAGACTTTTTTTTCTTTACATCTAGAATGTCCTGCTTGCACATATTTTTTAAAACCTACATCATGTATTGTTGACTTCCTTGCCAAAGGCACACATGCATTTCTATTTCATTTTTTGATAATTCTGATATTGTACCTAGTTCTCTTGAGCCATGGTACCTCTATTTCATTTCTGAATCAAACTCTATGCTTCTTTATAACTTCCAACTTTTGACATGTTTTCACTGGCAATTTGGTCATTAGCATATTTTTGAGATCGAACTTTATATCACTATTTCAGGTGAATATGTAAAGCATAGAAAACCAGATAAAATGTTGGGTTTCTTTAAATGAATTTCGTCTCTATAGAATAAAATTTAGCATTCGGTCCTTTTTTCCACATATCATCACACATTTACTTTTATACATTTACCTTAGATTAAATGTGTTTGCCTCACACCACTTGAGAGAGTGATTAAAGTGCATGCTTGGGCCACCTTTTTCTCCTCAGAATTCCCAAGAACTAGTTTTCTTAATTTAAATAATTACCATAAGTACAAAACCTTCATATTGAAAATCGGTATAGATATTACAACTTGAATTATACAATAAAATAAATATGAGCAAGCTTCTCTTTCCACAATGAACGTTCGTTATAGAAAGAGCATCAAATGCAGCTCCTGGGTTATGGTGAATTTATAGAAGACAAAATTTCACCATCACCCAATTATTCTGAGATAACTACTACTGGAATTCCAGTGTTCAACTGGACTTTTAATGCATTTATTTATACGTAATCAATGTTATGGCAGCTGCGCAGATATAGACTAATCTCTTCTTGCCGGCCGTTTCACCTTACTCAGTTTCCATTACCTGTGGTCAACCATGGTCCAGAAAATATTAAAAGAAACATTCCAGAAATAAACAAATTTATCCATTTTAAAATGTGTGCCATTCTGAGTAGCATGGTGAAATATCATGCCATCCTGCTCTGTCCTGCCTCACATTTGGGCCATCCAATTGTCTAGCATAGCCACACTGTAGACACTACCCACCCATTAGTCACTGATGTGGCTGCTTCTGACATCCAGCCATCAGCATCATCACTGTGAGTCTTGGTCTGGGAACCTACACTCATCCTCCTGTATACTTTAAGCTATCTCTAGATTATATGTAATACCTAATACAATGCATATGCTATGTAACTAAGTGCTCTAATGTATTTTTATTTGTATTATTTATAATTGTAAATTTTTAAATTAAAAAACATTTTGGATTATTTTCAATCTGGGGTCAGCTGAATCCAAGGATGCAGAACCTGTGGATATTGAGGGTCCACTGTATATACTTATAATTCTTCTAATTTACTATTAGCTGTCGTTAATCTTTTACTGTGCCTAATTATAGTAAAACTTTATCATACGTATATAGGTATAGAAAAAATACTATATATCGGATTCCATACTATTTTTATTTATTTATTTATTTTTATTTCATTTATTTATTTTTTCTGTGACAGAGTCTCACTCTGTCACCCAGGCTGGAGTGCAGTGGCACGATCTCGGCTCACTGCAATCTCTGCCTCCCGGGTTCCAGCGATTCTCCTGCCTCAGCCTCCTTAGTAGCTGGGATTACAGGCGTGCGCCAACACATTCGGCTAATTTTTGTATTTTTAGTAGAGACAGGGTTTCACCATGTTGGTCAGGCTGGTCTCAAAATCCTGACCTCGTGACCCACCCGCCTCGGCCTCCTAAAGTGCCGGGATTATAGGCGTGAGCCACCGCGCCCGGCCAGGGTTGCTTACTATTTGTGGTTTCAGGCATCCACTGTGGGTCTGGGAAGGTATGCCCTCAGTGAGTTGGGGGGCTACTGTATTCCAAGTCCCTTTCTTAGATATGCTGTTTCCCATCCCGCCCTCTGTCCTGAGAGGCATCAAGGTCTCTCTGGGTCTGGATTTTGTCTGTCAGGGAGAGAGATAGCCAGGGAGATGAGAAGGAGATAAGAGAGTGAGATCAGGGTTTCTTTCTCTGGCTCCCTCCCTCCAAGATCACCTCAAGCTGTCTGTGTCCCTTGGCCACAGTTCTCAGTTCCCCGCCAGGCACACTTCCCTCAGCAACTCTCTTCTGGGTTGTGGGAACTGCCCCTTGTCTGTCCCTGCCACCCAAGGCACGGTAAGAATTTTCCTTTGGAACTTCTTGGGGTTTTCGGAACATTCCACCTACACCTTTATCAGTGGTTCCTCTGTTTTGTTTGTTTGTTTGTTTGAGGCAGAGGCTCGCTCTGTCGCCCAGGCTGGAGTGCAGTGGCGCGATCGTGGCTCACTGCAAGCTCCGACTCCCGGGTTCACGCCATTCTCCTGCCTCAGCCTCCCGAGTAGCTGGAACTGCAAGCGCCCGCCACCACGCCCAGCTAATTTTTTTTTTTTTTTTTTTTTTGTATTTTTAGTAGAGACGTGGTTTCACTGCGTTAGCCAGGATGGTCTCGATCTCCTGACCTCGTGATCAATGGTTCCTTTCTTTAACTGTCTGGGAATTGTCCTAATAAGAAGGAGGTGCCATCCATTCCTAGTTGGAACTTTGACTCGTACTGCAGTTTATACGTGGTTTTATTGCCTGCTTCTGATTTTGCTCTACAATGTGTCTTGAACATCCTTGCTTGTTGTTCGGTATCATTTTTATCACATTCTAACAGCTTCAGGCTACACGTGTACCACAGTTGAACATTCATCTTGTTTTCTAGTTTTCCCTCTTAGTGATAATGTCATAAGGAGAACCTCTGTACATATGTACAACCTCTATTAGTCCCTTCAGATAAGTTCCCAGAGGTGAACTAATGGAAGTATTTCCAAGTGGTATTTTATTATTCATGCTGCAGATTTATTATCAAAGAAACACTCTACCATTCTTTAGCTGTGCTATCTCCGTGTTCCCTCAAGCAGTTCTGCAGTCACTTTGAAAGTCCTACTGCTTGAAAATGTGAGACACTGGATCTCCAGGCTCAAGGATTTCCTCCATTTATGTTCCAGGCTTTGTTTACGTGTTTGGATTGCCTACTTCTGATTTTGCTCTGCAATATGTCTTGAACATCCTTGCATGTTGCTCAGTATGAATTTAACACATTCTAGCAGCTTCACGCTACACAGGATCCATCATAAGATCATCAACCTACTTTTCTTTCTTTTTTAATTTTTTTTTTTTTAAGATGGAGTTTTGCTTTGTCACCCAGGCTGGAGTGCAGTGGCATGATCTCAGTTCACTGCAACCTCCTCCTCCTGAGTTCAAGAGATTCTCCAGCCTCAGCCTCCCGAGTAGCTGGGATTACAGGCACGCACCACCACCACCATGCCCGGCAATTTTTTTTTTTTTTTTTCAGACAGAGGCTCAGTCTGTTGCCCAGGCTGGAGTGCAGTGGCGTGATCTTGGCTCACTGCAACTGCCACTTCCCAGGTTCAAGTGATTCTCCTGCCTCAGCCTCCCAGTAGCTGGGATTATAGGCATGCACCACCACACCTGGCTAATTCTTTTATTTTTAGTAGAAATGGGGTTTTGCTATGTTGGCCAGGCTGGTCTTGAACTCCTGACCTCAAGGGATCTGCCAGCCTCGGCCTCCCAAAGTTCTGGGATTACAGGCATGAGCCACTGTGCCTGTCTAATTTTCGTATTTTTAGTAGAGATGGGGTTTCACCATGCTGGCCAGGCTGGTCTCTAACTCCTGACCTCAAGTGATCTGCCAGCCTCGGCCTCCCAAAGTGCAACCTACTTTTCTTAATTAGCAACAGGAGTTCCTTATGCCTGGAGACCAGGCCATGTTTACCTGAGCCATAGAAGCCTTGTTACTAGAGGGCTGTTCTGTGCTGTGTAGGGCCATCTGCCTAAACGCCTTCAGCTTGCATCTGGCTATAATTCACTCATCCTTTACACCAGTTCTTCCCCATTCAGAACACAAAAGTTGTTATCATTTGTCCCCTTCCCCTTCTTTTGTCCCATGGAGTTAAGACCTAAGGTTGGCTTCTCAGCCTTTGAGCTCAGAACTTTCTACCTGTTGGGACTTATTCACCTCCTCGCTTGTTCCTTGTCTGCCCATCTCTGTATCTCCACAGTGATCTCAAGCTTAGCAGGGCAAGACTCACAATAGCCTCTTTAGAGGAGATCAGACAGAAAAAAAAATCTGCTTACACCAGTATGGTTGAAACAGAGGGTTTCTAAAGGAGCAGCAGAGGACCTAGGAGACTTGAACATATCCAAGAGCATTTGGGGACAAAACTATGAACCACATTCCAGTATTTAAAGGATTAAGGAGGAAACAGTGTCCTCTAGCAACTTCACATTTACTTAAGAGTTGAAGATTCCCTTAGATTTTTTTTCACCCACTGGCAAGAACATAAGTCTGACTATTGTGGTTATTGTTCAAACCATGTAGACGCCCGTCTTCCACTCTCAAAGAACTGCAGTTGAAATAAATGGCAAATAATGCAAAAAAGTCAGGCTTTTCCCTCCTTTTTTGTTAAATGGAATTATAAATTTCATACAACTCAAATATTCCATTTGTAACTATAGTAATGACCTAGGTGATATAGAAATTGTCACCTGAGTTATCAGCATGTTCCTACATCTTGGCTAAAAGCCCAGAAAGAATAGATTTACAGAACGAAAATCTGGAGTGTTTTATATATATTATAAATACTGCTCTCACTGAGGAAAATGTGTGTTTGGAGGCAGCAACTCTTACAAGGAAAATGTAAAATTTTCATATACATCATTTAGTTGAAAATGTTCTCCTGTCATTTCTACCTCTGCTTAGCCCAAAGAAAATTAATCATCGTTCCTGGAATACAAACAAACAAACAAAAATGTAAATACTTCTCTTCTTTTGTGACTTTCACTGTTTTATGTGTGTTTCTCAAACCTGATTTTCCCAGAAATTGGACACCCTCAAACCTATTTTCAGGGGTTCATGAGTTTCCCATGAGATTTTTATGATTAAGTGTGCATCTCTGTGTTTTGATTCTTCATTAATCTTTAAATATGTTGATATATGAATGCTAATGGGATCCTGATTAACCACCTTATAATACTGTGTACCATGCAATTTCAAATTGTACTGCTATAGTTTGTAAGAAACCATGAGGGGGCGGGGAGAGAGAGAGTGAGAGAAAGATAAATCAGTTAAATAAAGTGTTAACGTTAAGTTAAAGCCATCTGAAGCCAAGAAAGCTGGAATCACCTGTTTCACTGTCGTTAGAATGCAGAAAATTGTTGGGAGAATTAAGTCATTACTTGACAAATAATACAAAGTGGAATTTATAAAAGTTTCCACTTTAAAATTTAGTAATATTGCAAGTGGCCGTTTAGTCTCCTCTAAACAACATTATCAGTGATAATATATTATGCCTCTTTTATTTATTTTTCAGACAGGAAAGTTACATGTTTTTAACATATATATTTTAATTGAAACATAATAATTGTACATATTTATGGGCTACAGTGTGATATTTTGATACATGTAAACAATATGTAATCAAGGTAATTAGCATATCGGTTATCTCAAAACTTTATCATTGCTTTGTGTTGGTAACATTCAAAATCGTCTCTTCTAGCTATTTGAAAAATTACAATAAATTATTGTTTACGATAATCACTCTATAGCTCTATAGGACACTAGAACTTACCCCTCCTGCCTAGCTGTAATTTTGTTTCTTTTAACCAACTTCTTTCTATCTCCCCTTCCACTTACCCTTTCCCCCCTCTGGTAATCACTATTCTACTATCTACTTCTAGGAGATCAACTTTTCTAAGGTCCACATATGAGTCAGGACATATAGTGTTTATCTTTCTGTACCTGACTTACTTCACTTAACATAATGTACCCCAGGCTCATCCATGTTGCTGTGAGTGACACGATTTGCTGCTTTTTTATGTAAAAAACTTGAAACGGTTACTTTAAGTTGTACTGGTTTTACAGATTTTTAAAGTTTGAGGGTACTTTTTCAGTTTTATAAGGGCTAATTTGCTGTTTATAAGCAGATAAACAATATTAAGTGCACTTTAATAAAAATTAAGTGTGATAACATTTTTGTGGTATTTTGTATATTCTTTACTAAATTTTGAGAAACACTTAATATTGGTTATTCTCTCACTATCCAGGATCAGACATATTTATTTTTGAATTATATCTTTTCCCCAACACTATTTCTTCCATGTGTTCAGTTAGCCATTAAGTGTGACGGTTAAATTACAGATGTATTCTTCAAAAGTAGCTCAGGGATGTCTGCAGAAAATGTGGCTATGGTACATACAAATACAGTGGTCTCTTGGTATCCTTGAGGAATTGGCTCTAGGAACCCGCACAGATATGAGAATCAAGTCCCTTGTAAAAAAAAAAAAAAGACTATTTGCACATAACCTATGCACATTCTTCCATATACTTTAAATCATTTCTAGATTACTTGCAATGTTACCAGGAAGTGCACAAATCTTGGTTCTTGTCTAACTTGGGAGAAAGAATTCAGCCAAGAGACAATTTAGCCAAAGAGGAGAATTTATCGAAGGAAAATAGCAGAGAGTTGATTTAGAGAGACAGGACACTCTGAAAGACGAGGCAGAGTGGGCTGCTGAAAGAGAATGAGCCAGTAGCAGCCCTGAGAGATCGGCATTCGGTTTTTACAACGTCGGATTTTTCTTGAAGTTTCCACCCCTGTCTTAAGTCTCCATCTTTTTTCTTTGTCTAGTTTTCTCGCTGCTGCCTTGTCTCCACCTCTCTCCAGCTAGTTCCCATCCCAGGTTTGTGGGATTCCCCCTTACTGTCAGCTGATGCACCTGCATAGGCCCGGATACGAATTCTACCTAGTGGTGGTGTTGCTCATTACTGCCACCCCAGGAAAGCCTCATAGCAGTTAAATCTGCACTTACTGTGCCTTTGTATATCTTAGGAGTTTCTCCTTTGACCTCTTCCCCTCCTTATCAGCATTTAGGTAGCTACATTCTGACAAGTTAACTGCAGAGTGAGCAATTACTGGGCGTCTTAAGGGGTGTTTCTTTCTGCAGATATTTCCCCTCTTGTCTGGTCATCCATAGCATGCAGGTTTCTGGTTTCTGGTGTCAGGTTTTCCAGACTTGCCTTTTTTCATGCCCCCCATGTCCCACTCATGTCTAACTGTCTGCCTACTGTAACCATAATACCTAATACATTGTCAGTGCTATATAAACAGTTGTTATACAGCCTTTTATTATTTTTATTGTTGTGTTATTTTTATTGTTGTTTTTATTTTTTAATATTTGCAATCTGGGGTTGGTTGAATCTGAGGATGCAGAACCCATGGACACTGAGGGATGGTTGAATTTCTTGATATAACATAAATCTCGGCCGGGCGCGGTGGCTCATGCCTGTAATCCCAGCACTTCGGGAGTGTGAGGCGGGTGGATCACGAGCTCAGGAGATTGAGACCATCCTGGCTAACAAGGTGAAACCCTGTCTCTACTAAATACACAAAAAATTAGCCAAGTGTGGTGGCATGCACCTGTAGTCCCAGCTACTCAGGAGGCTGAGACAGGACAATTACTTGAACCCGGGAGGCAGAGGTTGCAGTGAGCCAAGATTGTGCCACTGCGCTCCAGCCTGGGTGACAGAGCCAGACTCTATCTCAAAAATAAACAAATAAATAAATAAACAAATTAATCTTAACTACAGTGTCTAGAAAACCAGAAGATACTACACAGAGACCATAAGGAACGAAATGAACAAGTATGAGGCTTCACTGTGGGTCATGAAGGAATTGGCAAGATGATTCAATATCTAAGCAAGCTGACCCTATGAAGATGTGAAGAGCTCTTCTACTGATTGCTGAAAGATCTGTTTGAGTTACTAGGTTCCTCTTGGCCTCTGGTTCTACTAGAGGGAAACATCTGCAAGGTTCACATATTCTTTCTTATTAATAAGTGTGGCACATAATTCTTCAGTTATCATTTTTTACCTTAATGCAATATGTCTAATCATTTTGCCTTCATTCTGCCAATCTATTCCATACTATCATTCTTGCCATTGCTAAAGTAACACTTCCAAACATTTTTTTCACTTGCTCAACAACTTCCAATATTTTTATGTCCAGAGTTCTTACCATGGCATTCAGTGCGTCTCCTCCCTTAGCCTGCCTTTGCAAACTTACCTCCTAATCTGTTGCATGACCCTCTCTTCCAGTAAGCATGCTGTACTCACTGATGCTAAAATGTAGCTTGCTCATTTCAAACTGTCGTCCATGAATCTTACTGTGCAGTCTCTAAATCTATCTCCCACTTCTGAACCCCTATTTTAGATGGTGCGTGAATACTAATTTTTCATTGAACTACATTTTCTGATATCTGAAGATGTTTCCTATATTCCTCTGGTTAGATAACAATCTTCCTTGGGGTGGAGTTTTATTTTATGTAGCCTCTAGTGTGGTGCTAATCCTATCATAGCACTCAACATTTGCTGACTTACTCTAGTTTGGATTTTACCTTTAGTTTATATTAAAACTATAAACTGTTAAACTATGTTGCTTTATTCCATGTGACAACACAACAATTGATGCTATATAATAACAAAATAAATAAATAAAGTAACCACAACAAAACGTTTCGGCCAGAAGTAAGGAAACTAGATTCTAATCCCAGTACTGGGTCCAAACAACCTGCATATTATTAGAATATGGGTGTTCCTAATATGAAAGCAGCTCATTTCAGGATCTGAGAACTACTAAACTCCACATCTAATTTATCTAATGCTCAGCATTACCCTAAGTATAAACCACACAAATGTGGAAAAGATACTTTGCAAAACTAAAAATACCTGATTATAATATAGTATAATTAATACAACTAACTGAGTAATTCTTCGAAACAGGGAATTTATTTATTTGTAGATATAAATCAAGATAACTTCATGCATATTATAACAATTATATATTGCAATCCTGACATAATCTATTTTTCTTGTTATCCAAAGGGAAAACTTAGCTCCTTAAAATTTATTCAGATCTCACCTCTGTGTATTATTTGAGAAGGTAGGAAATGTCGGACAGATTGAGATCTGTGGTACAGTCACTGAGTCAGTACAGAATATTGTCTTTGATGGTGGTACAAAGGAAAATTTTATAGGAGAGTATGGTTGCTCATGTGGACGTCAACCTTCAAAACTCAGAAAAGTTTGTTCCTCTTCCAAAGCCATTGGGATCTCAGCGGCAGACTGACACTTTCCTGGTGTTGAAGAACAGCAAAGGAAGATTGTGTAATATCATATATGTTCTCAATATGCCCTATTTCAGTCTGCAGTTGTGGCCCCTCTCATAAAACAAACACCTGTGGAAGCTGAAACTACGGAAGTTTTACTGCCAAATGGTCGTTCAACTAAACAAGAACAACTTTGTTCAGAGAACGGGATAGAACAAAAATGAAGTTCCTATGCAATCAGTTCAGAAGCTTTTAGAGAATGACACTTTGAAATAACTTTCTCAAATACAAAATTTCCAGAAAGGTTTTAGTAAATAATTTTATAATAGCATTTTAAACAGATCATTTATGCAGATGTAAATGTACATTCAAGGGGATATTGGCCTTTATAATTAGATTTAGGCCCAGAAACACTACAGCCTCGTCAACATTCTTACAGTTCAACCATAGACTAATTAATAGATATTTATTTGTTTTGACACGTTGGGGACTTTTTCAGTTCATTTAGGCAACAAAATGCACATTCTTAATTTCTTTCTCTCTTTTTCAGGAGAAACCAAAGATAATAAAAGTGCTATTTCGTTAGCCTCTACTCTTTATAATGCCACCTCTATAAACAACATCCTTATTAGTAAAATATGATACAAGTGCCCTTAGGGTAAAATCAATGAATATTTATTTAGGAACTGGCTTTTGGCCAATTTTTCTGTACCCTAAAGGCATAAATATTATATACCAGGGAAGTTCAATTCCCATGTACTTATGATTTTTTTCTCTGCACATTTGTAAAAGGCAGAAGTATCTGCATGACACTTTCTAAAACTCACTTGTCAAAAGGTTCACCTGTGGTTGGGAGCTAAAATCGGCATTTCTGGTTCATCATAAAATGTTAAATAAGTATAAATTCTGGTTAACTATCTTAAGTTAAATAGCTAAAACACACAGGAGAGAGTTCTCATTATCTTAGTCTTCTAAATTTTGAGCCAGTGGCTTTAAGAAATAGTAGGGGGAAAGTGGTTAAAACGAAAACATGTATCCCTGAAGTCAGTCTTTGAGACAGAGTGTTGAAAGCTGGCAAGCAATTTTTTCAGAACATTCTCTGTGTTGTCATTATGTTTTCTTGTGGAGAATGTGTTTTCCACACCTCTCAGCAGAATCACTGTAATTCAATGAACAGGTAAGTTGAATTATGGATGTTGAAGCCACATCTTGCTAAAGGGAACCACAGTCCTAACAACTCCTTGAACAAAATGCTAGGGCTGCTCAATAGAATAGAATTCCCATGTTACCCATTTTTTTATGACTCTCCACTGTACTGGGATGTAGGCAGGAATCACGTCTCTAGATCACTTGAAAGTAATGAGGGACAGCTTGAGAAATATTAAATTTTTATCACTTTCAATTCTCTGCTACTACTTTTAACAATTAATTTGTATTTGTGTGTAATACTGATTCCTCTTTATGCCCTTAATGTTTTTATTAAAACATAATGTGCTCATAAACACAGAGACTAAATCTTTTTGCTTTTACTAATTTAATTTTTAACAAATGTTGTGCATAAATAGGAACTTCTTAAACCCTCGTGATTGTTATTAAACTTGTCAGCATTAATTGAATGTACTCTTTCTTCCTTTGAACTTGAAAACACATTCAAACTGTCTTTCATGAGGCTTAACGCAGTCTGCTTGGTATTACAGTTATTTGGGAATAGCCTTTCCTACAGTATAACACCAACTATCTAAGTTCTGCACCAACTACCTGGCTCGTTTTTGTCAAATACACAGTCAGTACTGATTGAATGATAAGTAATTGTTGCCAAACAGAATTCACTACCAACCTAAACCATGGACTTACACATTCTGTAATACCTCCTTAAACTAACTCTAGCTCTGCAGCATAGATAAACATTCCTAGAAAAGCTGGATATGGAGATGTGAATAAAGCATGTGCAGTAAATACCAATGTTGGGAAAAAAATTCTGTGTTTCAGAAAATCAAACTACCTGTAGCTACTTGGGGAATGATGAAGAAATAGAGAAGTCTTTGTGGGGTTTCAGGAGCCATTTGATTCAAGTAAGTCGGTGAGTAGCCTGCCCGACCGGAGGAAGCCAGACTGACCCATAATGACTCCAACCATCCAACAAGTGTGGATTGACCGCCTACTGTGTTCAGTGTGACATGGAGGGGAGATGAATTTTTAAGATGAGAGAGGAGGCCGGGCGCGGTGGCTCACGCCTGTAATCCCAGCACTTTGGGAGGCCGAGGCGGGCGGATCATGAGGTCAGGAGATTGAGACCATCCCGGCTAACACGGTGAAACCCCGTCTCTACTAAAAATACAAAAAAATTAGCCGGGCGTGGTGGCGGGCGCCTGTAGTCCCAGCTAGTCGGGAGGCTGAGGCAGGAGAATGGCGTGAACCCGGGAGGCGGAGCTTGCAGTGAGCCGAGATCGCACCGCTGCACTCCAGCCTGGGCGACAGAGCAAAACTCTGTCTCAGAAAAAAAAATAAAAAATAAAATAAAAAAAATAAGAGAGGAAACTCATAACCCTTCAGGGATGTAAAATTGACAGAGAATGGCAAGATAAAAGAAAACCCAACATTATTGAAAAGTGTGGTGCTTAAAGTCACTGCTGAGAGATTTGAATGATAGAATCCCAGGAAGCCAGAGGCTTGTGGGCAATATATGAAATGAGATAATGGATATGAAAATGCGTTGTAAACTGCAAGGTGCTATAAAAATGTGAGATATAATCATTATGCGGCTCACTAGAAAGAAGTTACAATTTTCTGGCTAGCCCTTTTGAAATGATGTATGAGTTAGCCGTAGGAGATAGAGGGTATAGATCCAACCACCAGTTGGATAATGGCCGGTTAAACTGATCTGAGATACCAAAAGGAGCAGGAATCAGAGGTTGTTAGTAAGAATTTACATTTTCTTCTTATTAGGACTTCAAGAGTTCCTACTGTACACATTGGTGAACAACAGGAGTTCATATGTAGGTCATAATACTAATGACTTATTTACAAAGAATATTCCCACAGTCATTGTTATAAATGGGAGAAAGAATTTTCAGCCTATCCACAAGGCAGGTTAACACTGTCATATAAATCATAGTATCTGTATGTGTATCAATTGTAGTCGCCAAGCTTTCTTGGAACTCTATTAGTAAAATGTTTTAAGAATACATGTTCCATATATTATAAATCCTTTGCAGGTATTGTATCCTAATATATTGTGTGCATTATAACACATTTGTAAAAATAGAAAGTCAAAAAGATAGGACTGAAAAATAAATAAACACAGATTAAAGTTCTACCTTTTTTTTTTAAAACTGTACTCCAGGGATTATCTTCTGCACCCAAAGTTTTGTTTACACTTCACTTTGACGACTTGATTCACAATGCACCATAGCACAAAACCATCATTTGTCACAATAAGGATATTTCCATTAGAAAACCTATATTCATTTCTTGCTGAGGATGCCCAAAATATATTTCTTTCTGCAGCATTCCTGACAAGCACTCTCCTCCAGACATTCCTACAGCTTGGTGAGCATATGGAAACTACTCCAACTTTTAGTCAATTTTGTGGTTACAGGCAAGCCCTCCAGCAAGATGGGGCTTGGGGGCAAAAAAAAAAAAATGAAGAGTAAGAAGTTAATGAAATGCTTAAGTCATAGCAGGAGACTTAAAAATTTCACTTGTTTTCATTTGCTTGTCCTTCATCTTGTATGACACCCTTAGTCTGTGTATGTAAACACCATACGTAGGCAACTTACCAATATATTATGGATTTACATCACTAAAGAATGGCATTTGCACAATACAGTATTTAACTTATTCTTATTTAGATTTTGCATGGTAGAAACTTAGGTCCTTAATTTTTTATTACCCCTCTTTATGAAAGAAGCTTATCAAAACTCTCTTACTATACATTTAGTGCAATTTACACTACTTCCCAGTATTTTGTATGGTTGATACTGCACTTTGACTTCTAAATCATAGCTCCTAGAGTATACCTCACTTGTATGTATAATTATAATACATCAATGTTTTTGATATACTAGTGATTCAAAGCATGTGTTTAAGTGGCATATTTCTCACTGATTATACACACCCATTCTATTCAAATAGTGTAAGACACAGAGCGTTGTTTGTTAGTGTAATTTAAAAATTAGAACTTTATTCAGAAGTTGGAGACATCGGAGTAGGTAATACCCAGGAACTGACAACTAATTAGACCTCTTCATGTCGAACTGGAAGCTAGAGTAAGTGTCAAAAATAGGTACTATGAGAGTTTGCAAACAATGCCTGGGAGAGACAGGTATATATATTTAGTCTAAGATCCCATAAACTGGGCATATTGACAGCCAATATGGGGGAACCCTCTATTCCAAGCTACTAGTATCAGGGTCAGGAAACAGAATGTGTCCATTTCTTTATGGGTCAAGTTAGATTCCTGAGGTTAACTGGGGCAGTGAGACAGAATACCCTGGCACATCCTTGCTATGGTTGAGAAGAAAAGATCAAGCCACCTTCACCAAACTTTTCTAGGGTCATTCCTATATTGTAGGTAATGACCATTCCTAATCTTTAAATTATTAGTAGGGTTAAAGCTGCTCCAGATTAGAAATTCCCATGCTTTTTGAGAGTAACCAATTCCCAATAAGCTTGCAGGGTTCTCTACCAGAACTGAGACCTCCTGCAGTCCAGAAAGAGGAGGTGTGGACATATAGCAGGGATGCTTGTTCAGGGCCTGCACCCTCCCTTCTCAGGGCATTTCGTTGCTCTCAAATTGGACCCATGCCATGTGTTTTTTTTTATCACCTGTTTTTAACTTTTTGTTTGTTTGTTTGTTTAGTACTTTATGACTACGTAAAAATGAAAATACACAAATACACTAAGAGCCTCCTAATGGACGGTTCAAGAATTGCATCAGGAAATTGCCTCACCAGGTTCCTGGGCTATCTTGCTCCATAAAGCAAAGACCACAATAGTCCCATCTTGGACTCCACATTGTTATAACTTCTGACACAGTCCCTTCAATGCATACTCTACTTGGGAAAAAAAAGAACTATATTATTGCTCCTGTTTCTTTGAGCATCCTTCTGCTTGAAGTTTAAATGTAGCTCAGAAAACTATCATTTTCAGACCTTACCTCTATCCATCTCATGACTTTACTGCTAGATCCAAATGAATCAATAGTAACCATCAAACTATCCCATGCATCAAACAAGTAACCCTAGGAATCACAAAATATAGCGGGAATAAATGACAGGCAATGCATGTTTTATAGCCCATCATTTAATGCCTTAACTACAGTATGCACTCATTTAAAGGTATTACTTTGCTCTAGCAAACAATAAAAGCAACTGAGTATTTATTTGATTGTTGCCAAATGCAGTGATCCCTTCAGAATGATTTAAGGAGACACAATTGCAGCCCGTCACTGACAGGGCTTGTTTTTTACACACCAGAGAGAAGTGGTCAGTATCGTTGCAGAGAAGCATCATTACACATGACTGACTAGCTGGGAAAATAAAAACAAATGGGGAGGGAGTGACCAAACAATCATGCAAGGGTAAGTGGCAGATTTGGAGTCTATCACGTTTGCTTTGGGGAGCTAAGGGGGAGCTCTACTCCAAGAATTCGTAAATAAAGAAAAGATTTCCCTGTCACTTACTTAATAATTATTGCTGGTGTTATTTATTGCTATTTACAAGAAACATCAATGCAAAAAATGCTGAGCAGAGGTTTTGTCTGCATAAATCATAGCCACATTGTCTCTAAACCATGTCCTAAACAAACACTTGAATAATATCTTTTTGTGTGTCGAGAAGATAGGATGTTTTGGTCAGGATTAGAGATCTGGGGCAGAGTTTTAGCGTTCTCAGCAACGAAGGCTGCCATACCTGGCTGTGGCTGAGGGGAGTAGTGCGTTTGTTATCCCCCCACCCCCTAGATTAGACAGGTTTATTCGCTGAGTCATTATTGTCTCCATTTATTTCAATAAACACACACTGAACCCATTCTAGGTGCCAAGTATATTTGTAAGCCGCAATTTCCTGCCCTCAGAAAGTTCATATGCAGTTGTCTCCACAGCCTTCAGGCTCCTATTTGCACCGTGAGAAACCTTGTCCAGCCTGGAAGGGTCACAGTGCCTGCTACCATTCCCCCATCATCTTCTCTCTCTTTGTACAAAGTCGTCTCCGAGACTGAACATTGAATATGCCTGCTAACAAAGTCTAAATCATAGAAACAATGAATAATTATCAATTTACAGAATATTGATTTGGGCTTTGGTAGCACTTGAGTTGGAGAAAAGATTATCTGTCTTTAGATTTTTTTTTTTTTTACTTACAGAAAAAAAATGCATGTCAAGTACTATAAACTACTGTGAGCTCTGTAAGCAAAAATACAAGATTAAGTTAATACAAGAATGCCCTATGTTATTTGGCCAGCATAATTAATTTAATTATTTTCTAATAACACTGATATGTTACCAAAGTAAAGTAAAGAGATTAAACCCACTTGTTCTCCTGCTGGCACCTTAAATGCATCTCTATGGTGACAGATCTCTGATGGTGGCACCAGGAGATAAAGCCAATTAAGATAAATAATGAGAGATCATTGCGCACAGATCACTCTGAGCATAAACTTTTTAAGAATTTATTGGTATCATTGGGTTGCAAATAAGTCACTTGAAAGTATTTGCTAAAAATCTGAAACTCGGAATGGTTTGAAACATAAGCCTATTAGATTTATTTAAAGCCTCAAGATTCTACTGTAAATAGCACCCTATTCAAACCTACGTTTTAGAAATATTGTGACTTTGACAAGAAGTTTTTTGTCCTTAGTCATATACTTTTTTAATGACATCTAAATTGTCATAAAATTATCTTCTAAAATGGCCAGGATTTTTCCTAGATTATAAAACTATTTTAAAAATTTCTTACGTCATTATTGAATTATTATATACGTATAGGTTTATTTATTTCTGTTTAAATATTTTATTATACACTCACTTGTTCCTTAAAAATATACCTTTTCTTTATTTCTACTAATGATGTGTCAAGCTATATTAGAAATTTTGGGGAAATTTTTTATATTTCATTTTGCTTTCAAGGCTCACCTATTTTTTTTATTTTATTATTATTATACTTTCAGTTTTAGGGTACATGTGCACACAGTGCAGGTTAGTTACATATGTATACATATGCCATGCTGGTGTGCTGCACCCATTAACTCGTCATTTAGCATTAGGTATATCTCCTAATGCTATCCCTCCCCCCTCCCCCCACCCGATTCAGTTAACATGTATGTATAACACCCTATTTTTATATTAAGCTTAAGAGCAGAAGAGCAAAAATATCTCCCATTTAGGTAGGAATTCTCATGCTTTTTGAGAGTAAGCAATTCCCAATAAGCTTTCAGGGTTCTCTACCAGAACTGAGACCTCCTGCAGTCCAGAAAGAGGAGGTGTGGACATACAGCAGGGATGCTTGTTCAGGGCCTGCACCCTCCCTTCTCAGGGCATTTTGTTGCTCTCAAATTGGACCCATGCTAATTTAGGTAGGAGTTTTACTTTACATGTAGGTATCAGTTTCCTGTTTGATACATTTTTGTCCTTTTCAATCTTTTATTCTTCATTAATATACTTATAGATTCCAGGCTTCCTGAGAGCTCCTCAGATAATTAGTTAAAACATTCCTATTAGAAATTTGTTTCTTGCAGAAGTCTGCTTAAGTCCGTATCACTTGAGCCAACCAAAGAACATTGAAAGGTACCTTTGGGTGGAAAATGAAACTGTGATTTTTATCAGTAAAGGGATATAGAAAACAATATTACATTGATCGTTCTCTAGATAATTCAGATAGAAAGGTTGGCTTTTTAAATATTAATAATGATTTTTAACAGCAAAGAGTTCAATTTACAATAGAGTAAACATTTAAAATGTACTTATACTAGAGAAATCAGTTGAGTGCTTTTCAGTGTGAAGCACTAAACTAAGTGACTTAAATATCACTTCATCCCACCCTCATAGAAGCTCTGAGCTAAGAACTATTGTTGTCCTCACTTAAAGGATGAGAACACTGAGGCTTAGTGAAGGTACAAAACTTGCTAAAACTTACAAGTAAATTACGGAATGCGGATTCTCACCAAGGCTGACTGAAATTAAAGTCTAGATTTTTAACCTGTATACTAAAAACTGTCCATCAGTAAAACATTATTGTTTATATGACTTACACATTTTTCATGTACGGGAGTTAATTTTTTCATGTAGTGGAAAAAGTTCTGGATTGAAGTCTGCTTTTATTCTGCTAATTCCAGCTAACATCTTGGTTTCTCTTTCTTTATCTCTAAAATGAGGCTCCAGTAGCAGGTTCTCTAGGATTATTTCTCCCCGACAGATTCTGTGTAAAGGCATTTGGACTATGAGTCAGTAAGCTTGGCAGATATCTCAACAGAAACAGAATTTAGCAATCCAATGTAGAGGAAGTATTACATACATCTCAGGAAGAGAGGGAGGAAAGAAAAAATTCAGAAATGAAAGGACTTATTAGGATGTCATGAACCAAAACACCCTGAACAAAGCTTCAGCTAAGAGTCCTAAATAAATAAAACAAAGATGTTAATGGAATATGATTCAAAATAAGTCTAAGAAATTATGCATGCTGTTAAAACTGCCTATTCAGTTTGTATTTTAATGTTTCAACTTTTCTGTCCTAAATTTGTGACTCACCTGGGACTTTGTGTTTAACAAACACTCTTTATATTTTGTTTATGAGCAAAAATTTCTAAAGGCAAAATTTTATTACAGTGTAGGATTATTAGAAAGAAGAGATGACACAAGAGTTTATTTCCATCTATTTATTTATTTATTTGCATTTTCATCAGGAAAGGTATTGTAAGATTCAAAATAGTACACTATAAAACAACTAAAAATAATAATGTAGAGAAAATTACTGTATTTTTTGGATGTATTTGTCCTCCTATCCTACCCAATTATATATTTACACACATACACACGCACACACGCATATCACTGAGCAACAAATCTTGCTTCTGTCTTTAAGTAGAAGATCTCAAGAAAATAATTTAACCTATTAACTTTGGTTTCATTTTCTATAATATTAAAATGTTAAATTAGAAGGTCAGTATCATTTATTTGTTTGCTTTTTGGAAATACCAAAGTTTCTGCCATTTAAAAAAATACAGGAATATCATAAAGAGTGAAGAGTTTCTGGAGAAAGAAATATTAAATGGAAATAAAAAATAACAAAATAAAAGAGCTTGAGAGATAAGGCCCAGTTTGAAATGACCGGACTGTGTGTCTCCTGAATTGTTTCATGTCACAAAAGGCTTTTGACGTTGAGTTAATGTTCTGGCCCTACTTACACTTTTCTCCTCCTTAGATCACAGAGCTGGAGGAGGAATTAGTATAGCAGTCTTAGCTTAGACCGAAGGCGTATAATCCTAGAAGTCAAAATAAATTTCAACAGGGTTATTTCTAACTAGAATAATGGTCATGTGACTTAGAGGCCTCTGGCTTTGAAGACCTCACAAACATATGTGGAAAATGAAGCTATAAAGAGCTATGAAAGGTGACAAAAGAAAAAGTGAGATAAGCACATCCTATAATTAAACATTTGCATCCAAGACCAAAGCATTCCTCTTTTTAAATCTTATTTTCAAAATTATAATTAGAGTATTTGCTTACAGATTTTCATATTTCAATACAATCACAATAGTTTGTTTGTTTGTTTATTTTGTTTTGTTTTTGGAGATGGAGTCTTACTCCGTCACCAAGGCTGGAGTGCAGTGGCGCAACCTCAGCTCACTGCAACCTCTGCCTCCTGGTATCAAGCGATTCTTGTGCCTCTGCCTCCCAATAAAATCACAATAGTTATTCAACTTTAGTGAGCATTCGAATCATCTGGAAGGTTTGCTGAAACTCAGCTTGTTGCCCACCAACCCCAGGATTTCTGACTCAGAGGGTGTTGAAAAGGCCTGAGAAGGTGCATTCTAACAAGTTCCCAGGGATGATGATGATGTTGCCGTTCTAGGAACACATTTTGAGCAGCATTCGTCAAAAGTTTTATTCAAATAGAGTAATTTTTGAATCACATGTAGAAATATCACAGCATCCTAAGCCAGCTAATTTATTTCCTATCATTCTGCTAGATTTAAGGGTTATTTTTTAATGTACAGTAACCCAGTAGAATGTGTAAATTTCCAAATGTCTTAAAACACACTTTAAAAGGCTATCGTTGTATCATATTTTTAAAAATGTTGCGATGTTATAGCATTCATTCTCAAACATATAATACCGGTGATTGAGTACCACAGCCTACACATTTGTATTCTCTGTGTCCTGGGGATTCAGACATGAATAAATGATCCATGTGTCTGCTTTGGCGGAACTCAGTGGATACTGACAGGTAAATGGGAGAACAGACCAGAAAGACACAAACGGCAGAGTGCTGTCTTGTAAAGACGAACAAAGGACTGGGATTGTGCCAGGCTGGGGCAGTGGTGCTCTTCACGTAGAAGCCCTTATTCAAACAGAAGCCTTATTTGGCTGGCTCTTAAAAGTGAATAGGAATATTCTGGACTAAGAAAGGGAAAGGATCCCCCAAACAGATGGAAAAATATATACAACCCTATTTTGTGATTTAAAAATATGCTACCTCAACCGTCAATCTAATTTTGGAAATTAGATGTATATGTCTAAGATAACGTGCATTAGCAATATGCAGCTATTTATTTTATTAGCATTACATTTTAAAAGAGAATGAAACAGATCTGAAAGTGTGTGTCAGTATTAAATATCCTGGTAAAGGGTTCGGTCCACAATTGCTGAAAGATTCAAGTCAATAGCATGATTCTTTTAAAGGGAAGTAAATCAGGGAAGGCTCCCTGGAGGAGGTGTCTTCGCCAGTTCTCACAGAACATTTGGGATTTGAGTGCAGGCTCTACAGGGAGAGCAGGGTGAGTATAGATAGTCCCCAATTTGCAAGATAACAACACAAGGGCCATGAACGTTTTTCTGATCCTGAACTATTTTCAGAGTATCTCTGCCAGTGTAATATACTAAAAAGAAAAAGGGATATTTTTCTGTCTATGCATTACAATAGTAGATTGCTTTGTATTGGATTTGGGGTGTTTAAAGGGCCACCCTACCATAAATCCTTTGACATTTATATTTTCACATGATATAACATTTATGATTTTGGCAATGAAGAATGAGTTTCACTCCAACTGCTAATAGCTCCCGTTAGTCTTTTTTAACTTAAAAGAAGAAAAACTAACAAGTTTCTGTCTCTCACAAACCAAAACAATAGGCTCTTTCTAAAAAGCTGTCATCGAAAAAAATAAACAAGAGAAATCCTTATTAATGGTAAAGGAAGATTTTTGTGTGTGTTCCAAACTATTTTTAAATGCCTTTCATCTTGGGGATCCTGTGACTGAGGGACTTGCTCTCCTTACTTTAATCAGTGAAGGAGAATGAGCTGGCCAGGGGGGCCTGGCTGGATGGAGGGTGGGACTCTGCTGCTGCGCAGGCCAGCCTGAGCCTGCTACATGCCAGTAAGTCAAGGTCGATATAATGATTTCTGAACAAAGAGATGAATGTCTTTGCCAATCCCCTTGGTGTTATCCAGACCACATCTTCCCTGCACTAACACGTAATTGTAAGTTTATTTTTTGCTAGTCTCTGTCTCTTCAAAGGAGGGCTGTATTTAGGCAAAAATAATTATTAAGATGGAATTCACATTTGACTGTTGTTTCACTTTGCTGCTGAAAGGGAATTTTACCACCGCCCCATCTGCTTTGAAGATGGCAATAAAGTCAGCAAGTTATACTCTCTTCCTGAATTAGTTCCTAATTAATTTTGTATTTTAGATTTACTACCTGTCTTCCCTTCTCAGTTTAAAGCCCTCCCCTTACATCTGCTTCTCGCACAGTCCACGAGCCAAGAAGGCAGAGATAGTGCCAGCTATGAAAAGAAACAATAGCAATTAGGATGAAGTGGTGTTCGTTCCTTGAAGAAAGCTATGTGCTCAGCTGAAGGATAGTTAGAAAGCTCGCTTCATAGCCCTTATGTGAGGAAAAAGGATCTAGGGTGAGTGATTGTATTTCCAAGAGTTCAGCAGTCAGAGAACCTGCCTGCCAAACTGTTTAATCCTACTCTTATGTGTTCTTAGATTTAACAGGGTCAACTGGAATCGTTATTTGTTGGTGCATTTAAGGAGTACAAATGCATTTTATGTGAGCAAAGGGTTAACTGATTTGGGACTAGTGATGACATTTTTTGAGAAAGTGGGGAAACCTTAAGCATTTTTCCACCTGGTTTGGATCTGTGCAAGACTGCCTTCCAAAAAAAAGAAAAAAGTAAAGGCGTTGTTCTGGCTCTAATGGCATCGTGAAACCAGGAAGGATGCGTTAGTCTTGGGAGACCCTGGGCCCTTCTGGCAATGACTCCTTTCACCTTCCCTCCCACTTCCTCATACCCTGTAAAAGAGACGGCACTCTATTCCAAGAGTGACAAGCTGGGAGTTAGGAGTCTTTTTTCTTTCTTTCCTTCCTTCCTTCCTTCCTTCCTTCCTTCCTTCCTTCCTTCCTTCCTTCCTTCCTCCCTTCCTTTCTTTTTTTGAGATGGAGTGTCACTCTGTTGCCCAGGCTGGAGTGCAGTGGCATGATCTTGGCTCACTGCAAGCTCCGCCTCCCGGGTTCAAGCTATTCTCCTGCCTCAGCCTCCCGAGTAGCTGGGATTACAGACGCCCGGCTAATTTTAGTATTTTTAGGAGAGACGGCGTTTCACCGTGTTGGCCAAGCTGATCTCGAACTCCTGACTTCAGGTGATTCACCCGCCTCGGCCTCTCGAAGTACTGGGATTACAGGCGTGAGCCACTGCGCCTGGCCAGGAATAATTTTTAATGGCATCTCTGTGAGTGAGACCCACTTAGAAAAAGGGGGCGCTTCATTACACTTCAGGTCTGACAATAACATTGGTCCCTACAGGGTTGTTTTGTTATAATGGTGAAGAGAAAACAGCTGCTACCCATCGGGCCCCCGGTGTGTACAGGATCTGCCCCTTCTCCCTCGGCCTGTGTGGCTTTACTCCAGGGACTCCAGTTTCCTCCCACATCCCCAAGAGGTGTCCTTTAGCCCTTTGAGCTGGTGCGTCCTCAGGGCCCAGTGTGAGTGTGGGGGCGTGTGAATGAGTGTGAGTGTGACAGTGGGTGTGGGTGAGTGTGGGTGACCGGGAGGGAGTTTGGGTGAATGCAGGTGAGGGTGAATGTGGGTGAGTGTGGGTGAGCAGGAGGGAGTGTGGGTGAGTGGGTGAGTGAAGGTGTTTGTGGGTGAGGGTGAGTGGGTGAGGGTGAGTGTGGGAGTGGGTGACTGTGAATGTGAGAGTGGGTGTGGGTGAATACAGGTGAGTGGGAGGAAGTGGGGGGTGAGAGTGTGAGAGTGTGAGGGTGAGTGTGGGTGACTGTAGGTGAGTGAGGGTGACTGGGTGTGAGTGAGGGTGAGTGTGGGTGAGATGAGGTGAGGGTGTGAGTGTGGGGGTGAGGGTGAATGCAGATGAATGTGAATGTGTGAGGGTGAGTGTGACTGGGTGAGTGTGGGTGTGTGTGAGGGTCAGTGAGGTTGAGTGAGGGTGTGTGAGGGTGAGTGTGGGTGAGGGTCACTGAGTGTAGGTGATTGTGAGTGTGGGTGTGAGTGTGGGTGAGGGTGTATGAGTGAGGGTGCAGGTGTGTGGGTGAGAGTGGGTGATGGTGAGGGTGAGTGTGAGGGTGTGTGAGTGTGAGGGTGAGTGGGTGTAGGTGAGGGTGAGGGTGTGGGTGAATGTGAGTGGGTGGGTGTGTGGGTGAGGGTGTATGTGGGTGTGGGTGAGGGTGAGCATCAGTGTGGCTGAGTGTGCTTGGGTGGGTGAGTGAGGGTGAATGAGGGTGAGTTTGGGTCAGTGTGGGTGAGTGTGTAGGTGAGTGTGACAGAGTAAATGAGCAAGGGTGTGTGTGGGTCAGTGTGGGTGTGTGGGTATGTGTGAATGTGTGGGTGTGTGACTAAGGGTGAGTGTGAGTGAGTGTGGGTGAGGGTGAAAGTGAGTGTGAGTGAGGGTGAGGGTGTGTGGGTGTGTGGGTGACGGTGAGGGTGAGTGAGGGTGTGTGTGAATGTGATTGGGTGGGTGTGTGGGTGAGTGAGGGTGTGTGGGTGAGTGAGCATCGGTGTGGGTGTGATTGGGTGGGTGAGTGTGGGTGAGGGTGAATGAAGGTGAGTGAAGGTGAACGAGGGTGAGTGTGGGTGAGTGAGGGTGAATGAGGGTGAGTGTGGGTGAGTGAGGGTGAATGAGGGGGAGTAGGGGTGAGGGTGAATGAGGGGGAGTGTGGGTCAGTGTGGGTGCGTGTGTGAGAGTGAATGAGGGTGTTTCTGGGTGCGTGTGTGTGGGTGAGTGTGAGTGAGAGTGAATGAGTGAGGGTGTTTGTGGGTGCGTGTGTGTGGGTGAGTGGAGTGAGAGAATGAGTGAGGGTGTTTGTGGGTGCGTGTGAGTGTGTGGGTGAGTGTGAGTGAGAAAGAATGAGTGAGGGTGTTTGTGGGTGAGTGTGAGTGTGTGGGTAAGAGTGAGAGTGCATGAGTGAGGGTGTTTGTGGGTGCGTGTGAGTGTGTGGGTTAGTGTGAGCGAGAGTGAACGAGTGTGTTTTTTGGGTGCGTGTGAGTGTGTGGGTGAGTGTGAATGAGAGTGAATGAGTGAGGGTGTTTATGGGTGAGTGTGGGTGTCAGTGGGTGGCTCCAGCCACCTGGGACCCTGGACTGGAATAAGTTGGTGAATAATTATCTTACTTGTTTTGATTAATCCTTCTTAAATGTATGTCCAGCTCACATTTATTTAAATGTTTATATGAAAATGTTTTGGTCTTTATTTAGAAGTTTGCTGATGTTTAGGAGACCAGAAATATGCCCTAGTAGCTAAAATCTTGTTCATATCAATTAGCCTATGGGAAAATTGCTCTCATTATACGTTGTTTTGCTTAAAGTCACAGTTTCCAAGAACCTATCAATGATGTTAAGTGAAGACTTACTGTAATTAGCTTAGCTGCCGTGAGCTACCTAGGAAAACCTAATTTAATAAATATCAGCTGCTAAAACATTCTTATTGCCTGGTTTTCACTATTCATTAATTCAATATTTAATATTCATTAATTCATTTGAGAGATACATAGTGAGTTTCTAATCTGTGTCAGGTATGTGGCAGGTGCTGTGTACACACTAATCAATAAAATCCACATGGCTCCTGTCCTCATGGGATCTATGGGCTAGTAGTATATGATCATTATGCGTAATAGACAATTAATATATTCAAAATAATGTAAGACAAAATGTGCAGTGTGACATGTCTCCTGAAGGAAGGTAGGAACAAGCTTTTGAATAAAAGCATTCCCCACACATAGTATACTTTTCTCATCTTTCTTGAGGCTTGAGGGTGGGATGAGGATGATTTAAATACAAACAGAATTTCTCAAATCTTCTCTAAATGGCGAAATCTGATTTTGGATTAGAAAGTCATACTTCTTTCTGCCGGCTGGGCGCGGTGGCTCACGTCTGTAATCCCAGTACTTTGGGAGGTCGAGGCGGGCAGATCACGAGGTCAAGAGATCGAGACCATGGTGGCGGGAGCCTGTAGTCCCAGCTACTCGGGAGGCTGAGGCAGGGGAATGGCGTGAACCTGGCGGACGGAGCTTGCAGTGAGCCGAGATCGCACCACTGCACTCCAGCCTGGGCGACAGAGCGAGACTCCGTCTCAAAAAAAAAAAAAAAAAAAAAAAAAAAAAAAAGAAAGAAGAAAGTCATACTTCTTTCTGTGCTAGTTTGAAGAGCACATTCCCAGGAGGGGCACTCACCGCACACCCTTGCGACAGTTTCAGGACTGGAATCAGCCCTGCATCGCCTTCAACAAATATTTACCCGGTGCCTACAGACATCGGCCCGGGGACTGGGAATAACAGACGTCAGGAAGATTTTCAATGTCATAGTTTGAAATATAAATGATCTCTAGCAGCAATTCATTTGGCTAGAAAACCCAAATTATTAAAATATTCCATTCTCAAAGCAGTCTGTTAGTAAATCATATTTTCCTCCAGCACTTGCTTCTATCCTTAAAAAATGGCCATGAACCATAGCAGTGGTTATGAATTCATTCATAATTTACTAGATAAAGGTCAGTTGCATTTTAAGACACATTAATTTAAATTATAACGTTAGTTGTAAATTGGGATATTTTCCCAAATAAATGATCAGTAATATTTTAAACACAAAATTTTACCCTAAAACCCTAACAAAAGGCGGATTTCAAAGACCTGCAAAACACTCACCTCATATAACCTTCTCACATACAGCATTTTAAATATTTGTGTTTAAATAGGACATACGTTTACAAACCTTCTTTTCACCCGTAAGAGAGTTAAAGATTTTGTGATATACTTGTTTGCTTAATTACGAGGAAAGCCGCAAATGTTTTAAATATAAATTTAACCTACTATGCTTTTCTTGGGTTTGGTGACCACAGTAACATTTTAGGAATTTTAAAATCCTTGGGCCATCAAAGTTTCACACAGTGACTGAAGCCATAGTTTGGGACTCAGTATACTAAAGAGTAAGTTCTCATCACTTATGCATTTGAAATGTTAAAGACTTTATTTTGAATGCACTGAGGCATATTAAAAATAAAATGGAATTTTTTATGCTAGAGATACAGCCAAGGAGTTATGTTCAATGTCATTTTGAATTTTTCCCAAATCTGAGGAGGGAATCCCTCAGGTAACATTTGAAACATTTTGAGCACTTGTATTTCTAAAAGAGGTACTTAAAATAAACAACCAAAAAAAAAAAAAAAAAAAGCTTTTAAGCAAAAATAAATAAAAAAAAAAGAATACAATGTTAGATATTCAAGAAGGAAATCCAAGATGATGATTGTAAAATATGGCAATATTGGGTCACTTTTTATTTTTAAGGTGATGACACAAATTGTATATTTGTTGTGTGTGAAACAATTGAGATATGTAAAAACAATTACTTTAAATATTATGATTTCTTACCCCACCTAGCAATGAAAAATAATTCAAGTATACTATGAAAAGCTTTATGCAGCAGACATATTTTATTCTGTTCTAGACATCCGTTAACAAAAATATGTGTTGAACTCTGCTGACATCTTTGATGGGTCTTCGGCACTGAATTATTTCTCAACACATGGAGCTAAATATACACTACTTTTACTTTTGTTAAAAATATTGATTTAATGTTATGTTCCTGAAAATACATGACAGGAGCGATAGCAGAAGGGATGTGGCGGATGCAATATTTGCTCAGCAGAAAAGGCCTAAGTATTATTTTGCTGCTTCTGACAGCACTAAATGAAGATTTTTCAGATAAACAAACAAGCTACAGGGAAAGACATTTGAACAAAAATGTCACAATTCCCATTAGTGAGCATAACAATGAAATGAAAAAATTACATTCTCTCATGATGCGGCTGTATAAAATAAATCTTAATAACCCCAATTGATGTTTTAAAATACAGAGAAAAAATAGAGACGACTATACTTAGAGTGGTGCTAGGAGATTCCAAGTTCCAGCAGATATGTTCTATCTATATTTGGGGCCAAGGAAAGGAAGAGAAATGAATTTCCTCTCTCCGTTAACTGTAGGTGCTATGGATTCCTGGGCATGTATATCTGTTTCTATCTCCATAGCATCAACAATGCTCACCCTTAAAGGATGAAGATGAAGTAAAAATCAAGTGCTCATCCGTTCCTATATGTCCCTGCCAGGGGCTGGGCGGTGGTTCACGCCTGTAATCCCAGCACTTTGGGAGGCCGAGGCGGGTGGATCACAAGATCAGGATATCGAGACCATCCTGTCTAACACGGTGAAACCCCGTCTCTATTAAAAATACAAAAAAATTAGCAGGGCGCGGTGGCGGGCGCCTGTAGTCGCAGCTACTCGGGAGGCTGAGGCAGGAGAATGGCGTGAACTGGGCGGCAGAGCTTGCAGTGAGCCGAGATTGCGCCACTGCACTCCAGCCTGGGCAACAGAGCGAGACTCCGTCTCAAAAAAAAAAAAAAAAAGAAAAAAAAAAGAAAAAAAAAAAAGACCCTGCCAGGTTCTTGTTCCTGCCTCTCTCCCCGACCTCACTTCTTACTGCTATGGTCTAACTGGCCTAGACCAATGTCGCCTTAATTCATTTTCTTCAAAACTGCTTTTTCCTGCCTTGGGATTTTCACAATTGATTTTATTTGTACTTGAGCCGTACACTTAGATATCCCCTTGGATTCAGGCTTTGGTTGTCAGGTCTCTGGGAAAGCGTTCTGATCTCGTCCTCTCTTGTGTAACACCAGCTCCTTAAGTTACTCTCTATTCTCACCATCACCCAGCCATCCACGTCACCCACCGCCATCTGAAATCATCTGCTGCTTGCTTTTCTGTGTGTTTCTTGGCTTTCTTGCCCTCATTAGCAGGTAAGCTCCATTAGAAATAGCATCTCTCCTCCCTAATTTGACCACCGTACTTACAATGTCTGCAATAGCATTGTGCCTGGCGTCAAGTAAGGAGCCAAGAGAGATTTTTACATGAATGAACAACTCATCAATTTCACTGGTTGATCCAAAGTAATATGTTATCAGGAGGGCTAAGGAGGGAAAAAGAGTAGCAGCCACCATCACTGCACACTTTTAGGCCCTGGTATTCCCCCATAAACAACTCTAGGAAAAGAAACGATTCTTTCCAGAGCATTGGGGAGTACCTTCATCTCTTCCTACAGTTTTTACCCCTGCAACTGTGTATCTTGAAATGGGAATCTCAAAAGGTAGGGAGCAATTCTGGGGGTGAAAGTTCTAAATCTACAAAACCGCTCCAACTCTGTGGGCAGGAAACGATGGAGAACTGATCCAAGTCACAGCACCTCACTCTGGCCCCACTGCATTTCACTTTGATGGGAATCTGTGTCTGAGAGGCACTAAAAGTGGGTGTGCTGCAGACAGCTATTTCTGTGCATCGAGCAATAAAACAGTGGGGCTGGCAAATGTGGACAGAAGTAATGCAAAACATTTTGGTCTGAACAGCCTGTTTGAGATGCTAATGATTTTCCTTGTTACTTAGATGACTGTGGAGAAGTTTACAGCCATCCATCTCAAGTCAAAAACTACATTTACAGGGATCAATGACGCATAATAGACACGCTGCTTGGCACTGGATAAATTCTCATTCTCCAAAATCTACAGCCTAAAAAGTCATCACGGAACATTTAAAAGAATTGCCCAGAATGCCCGGCTGTGTCTCTCATACTATGTGAAGCATGTTCAGAGATGTAGTGTGCTGAAGAAGTGCAATGCACATGTTTAAAAAAGCGTTTACATATTCATGCAAGTGAATGTTTTTAGTTATCTTACAAGGAAAATTGAAAGTATATGTTATTGTGTGAGTTTCATCTAAACATTTTACACAGATAGGCAAAATCCTTCTCTGAACCAGATCATGATAATTCTCAAGGTGTGAAGAGAAAAAAAAAAAACCTCCCCTTCTCCAACCTCTTTATCCTTTTAACCTACACCTCTCCTAATGCCCACATGGAAGCAGCTTTGCTTTACAAAGTGAAAGGTGGCGACTATAGCTGAATTGAAGCAACAGCTGTGGAGTGAGGAAAACAATATGCTTTCTCTTCCAGCAGCATCACCATAGTGTACTCACAAAGGTACCCTGAGATAGCTGTTCCTCTCGCAGTAGTAGCAGGCTGGCTCTGAAGTAGAGGCAGAAAGTCCCCCTGAAAAGGATGAATTCCCATGTGCACACCGAGGCTCCAAAGCACAACTCTAAATGATCTAAATCAAAGGTTCATACAAACTAGTTTATGGGCCTGTGTGTACATACATCATACATACCAAGGACAAGAATGTACGTGGGAAGTTTTTGTTTTTGTTTTTGTAGAGACATATGTTGCCCAGGCTGGTCTCAAACTCCTGGGCTCAAGTGATCCTCCCGCCTTAGCTTCCCTAAGTGCTGGATTACAGGCATGAGCCACTGAGTGTAGCCAGAAGATTTTTTTATAAATTAAATAACTTTCTAAAAGCTCCTTTATTTGAAGATTATATACTTTTTAATGTTTTGTGTTGCAAAGTGTACCCTTTTGTGACATTATGGTGTCAGCAAGTGGTTTAAGTTTGGTTTTTACATTTCTTAATTGCCTTTCCCACATACCACAAGTGGGCAATGCCCATTGGTCATTAAATGGTATTTTAGATCGTATTGATCCATCAAATTCCAAAATAGGGAGACTGCTGATTCACTTTTTAATCTTAGAATATCATTTCTTCTTTTTTGCTGAAAATTGTTTATTAAAGTGTTAATGTTTTATATAGTTGGTTCAAAGTTTTTATGGAACTTAAAATCCTGAGTTGTTTCTCAATAATACAGATGTCTATAATATAGATGTTTGTAAAAACTATCACAGTTACAGATGCTTAACATAATTAGACTTCTCTTCTAAACTTCCATTTGTCAGATCAATGCTAACCTTTCACAGTTACCACAAAGTTTGGAATTTACAAATTCCTATTTCTCCAGTTTTTATTAGTATATTTTAAACCCAAAAGAGAAAGCCAAAACCCCCATCAAAAGCCTTAATCTAAATCAACATTGAGAAACAGAGCAACGGAAGAAGCTCTTTTATTCATCAGAGAGGAAAAATTGAGAATATATTTACAATTTATTTTTCACTAAAGAAAATATACTTTGTATTTAGAAAAATGAATGATTAATTTTCAGGAGCTGATTTTGGAGAATGCTCAATAAGTGCCTTAATAACAGATATTCATACTAGGGCCCATCTCCTCTGTCAGGTATTAATCTTCATATTTCCAGCTGCTTTAACTGTAATTCAGCCTTTTTGGCTTCGATCTGAATGACGGTCACTGCTCTTTCATAGTTCTTTTCAGGACTATTATGGAAACTGTGGGCAATCCGTCTTGATATAGGATGCTTATAGTATTCCCAATGTTCTGGGATATAGGCTTTTGGACTTTCTGCTAGTTCAGCTTCACCCATGCATCCATTCACCAAAGTTATGCAAGCTGCTGCTGGAATCCCAGTCAACAAAATGTGGAATTTCAATAAATTAAAACAAACAAACAAACAAACAAACAAACAAAACCTATCATTGAATCCAGAAAGTTTGATGGTAAACAATCTTTTCCCATGATCTCCCTTTCGAAAGCCACAGGTGAGAAGGTCTTGAATCTGAGCAGAGTGCCAAGGTGGCATCAGACAGAGCTGCCACCGCAGTGACCAAAGACCTTTGCAACAAACTCATGGCCACCAAGGCTGCGATGGGCAAAAGGAAGAAGCAGGGAGGGCAATGGGGCTGAGAGAGACAATTTACCACTGAAAGCAAAGGCGGAAAGTGGCCCTGTTGAGTGAGGCGAATATCAGTTCATGATAAAAATATCTTTTACAGCTTCCTTCCCGATATCTGCTGATCACTTCACCTCACACCTTTTAAACAGAGAAACCCAAGGAGTCTATTTTCACTTCTCCAGCCTAAAAGCTGCTTCTTGTGCATGGCTTACACACAGACCCATTGCTTTTTTTAAAGAGTGATCACACCACTTTTAATTTTATTAGATTTTATGATGCAGTTTCAGTTTCAACGGCCCGAGAGAATGGGACATTTTTGAAGTTCTGTTCTATGAATCATCCTAAATGCAATAAGAATGTAGTGCTTTGCTTAATGAGTTTGTTAGGCTTTGGTGTTTGGTCCCCAAATTCATCTCTTGGTAACTGTGGGGTCCTGGACAGCATAGGAGACTCACTGGTATCTCTATCTCCAAGTCTAAAATGTGACGACCACAAGTCTCTACTTACCGTAACCTACCTCAGCCTTCCCAGTGCAACTTAGTTATCAATACACACAGGTCACCTGACACACTGATTGTCTTCTGGGTGAGGCAGAGATATCCACACACTAAGACTTTATACCCGATAACATCAGATCATTGACATATTCTTCCATTTGAAGTTCAAATGTTTCACCGTGTGATTTTGGCTATGGGCTGTGTAAGGTGAATTTCTTGAGGACAAGGAACATATTTCCTCATTTGATATCCTCAGTACTTGGCATAGACCTGGTATGATTTTTGACTGAGGCAATGAATTCACAGAAAATAATTGTAAATCCTTTACTAGTGTGTCCTGGCTCTCCAGTCAACTCTCAAGCTCCAAGTATCCCTGTGGTTCTAGGGAGCTGAGTGTTTCAGGGTCAGAAGCACACATTTATGAAAACAACTTGCTTACAATAATGTTACAACGAAGCCTGTAATATCTTTCCCATCTAAACACAGAACGCTTTTACAAGGAACTTTGAGTTCATGTTAATATAGCACCTCAAAGTAAGTACATCAGTCAAATGAAGTGGACTTTACCATTAAGACTATACTGAAACATTTATGCATAATTAAAATTTTCAATTAAGGAATCATTTAAGGTGATTCTTAGATGATTCAGTAGATCTGATTTGCATAGAGGAGATTTAAAATTACCCAAAGACACTGATTTGAAGGGAATTTGTACGTTGTGCTACGATCAAAATGACATAATTTCCAGTTTTAGTATTTTCCATTATCTATTGAAATGCCTCCTTTCTAAGAATGTCTATTTTTATATACTCTCCTGAAATGCTATCTTTTTTGGTAGGCACACTATCAACAAATGCACTTTCACAAAGCATAGCACTTTATGGGATTTAAATGAAGAAAGATAACACATTTATAAAAGCAATACATAGTAGTTGAGACCCAAATTTTGTTTTTGAATGTTAAGTATAATGACTCTACCAAGCAGATGTTTATCATTAATAACAACAGCTCATGGTTAAATGTGGCATAAATGTCAATAGGGATCATTGTAGAACTAAAAATAAGAATGTAGACTTACTAGAATCCAAGTGTTTTTTTTTTTCACCCTCACACAGTGAAACAATTAATCAGCACGTGAGTTGTAAAACAGAAAAGGAGAAAGGACAAACCTTTTATTATGTAATTTCCAAATGCTATGCTTAGTATTTGCACACAATAATTTTTATCTCTTAACCTTCAAGATGCTTCCAAATAGATAATTTTTATCAAGGGTAAACTGAAGTTCAGGGAGTTTAAATTACTTTCAGGCAGTAAGTGGCAGAACCAGTATTTGTTTGACACCACTTTTTATAATCTTTCCACTCATTTATGGTCTTCTGAGCAATTAATTGCCTCAATCTGAGAAATAAGAGAGTTCTGATTCAAGAGTAACCTTCCTTAAGCATGTAGAAAGGAGCAAAATGTTTTGTCAGCAGCGAGAATAAATTGTAATCAACAATGATAACAAATGTGGAAGGGGAGACATTTGTGTGTAAAGTATATCAAAGGTCTAAAATGCTTCAACAGACTGTAGACTTGGAAAGGGCCAACGAATCTCATCACTTGCAGATCCTTGATGATTTTCAAGAGAGCAGTTTTGGTCCAGGGTTAAGCATGTACTAAATAATACAATAAGAAATTGGAAAAACTACTCCGTTTGAGGTCTTACTATATGCCAGACACTGCTAAAAGCTTGAAGCTTATGATATCTTGCCTCTGAATTATTAAAACCATTTTAGGGATGAAGAAACAAACTTAGAGAGGTAAGAAAAAAATACCCAAATACACCCAGCTAGTAAGTGTCAAAGCTGAGATGAACCTACAACTGCCCTAAATATAATTGAAATATTTTCAACAGTATCACCTTTGCCTCTCTAAGGGGTCCTTGAATAGCCCTTGAATAGTAAGACACAAAAGATCTAAAAGAGAAGAGATCTAAGTGATGGAAGAAGATATGCAGGTGGGAAGTAGAGGGAAGGAAGAAGAGGGGCACAAGTGAAGGAGATTCTGGAGAGAGGGGAAGGGTTGAGTCATTTTCTGAGAGTTCAGGAATGGAGCGGAGAATAGTTGACATTCAGCACAGAAAAAAAAAATGCTGCCCTTGGAGACAGAAAAAAGAAAAACGTGGTTTTTTCAAAGACCCTCATCTTATCCTCCTTATTGCCCTGGGCAGTATTATTGCCCTGCCTTTCTGCCGCGATGCAGTCTCTGCCAGAAACAGTCCCCCACTCTGCCCAGCAAACATCAGGTTTTGACTGTACCTGCTATGTCTATGCATCCTGTCCCTGACTGCAGCAAAATGTTGGCTAACTTATAAAAACTGAATAAAATGCAAAAAGGGAATAATCATTAAATAAAAACCCTTTTTTTTCCCCTGTGGAGTCATGAATAAAAAAGAATTTTCTCACCTAACAGATGTGAGTCCTAATCTCATAACTGTTCAACTGGCAAATTCACTGAATTAGAGAAATGCACACCTTGACCTGAGCAAAGGGGATGGGGCACATGTCCTTTTGACACAATGCATCCTGTACGGTGATGCCAAGGGAAGGCTCTAGAGCAGAACATGGGCAAATGGATGGGACAAGGCTTTCTCTTGCAGAGATTCTGGGTCTCTTAGAATGGGATGACTCTGTAGACCAGTGCTTCTCAAAATTTAATTTGTATGTGAATCACCTGGAAATCTTGTAAAATGCAGATTCTGACTAAGTATGGGAGAAATGCCTGAGATCTTTCATATCTCACAAATTTATAGATGATGACAAAGGTGCTGATCCTCAGAAATTGATTTGATTTGCAAGGCTGTGGAGAACCTTGCTCTGTTGCAGTTACCTTAATTGCCCACTTTAGATGCCAATCCACTGGGAGCAGCCTGCACTAGCTCATCATAGGCTGTATTTTACTCCTCTGCCTCTTTCTTGGATGCAAGCCACTCATCCTGAGCCAATTCTACATGTCTCTTCTCAACCTCGTGTTCAGTGACATCACATTGGTAGCTTGAAAATGGCTCTGGTGGGAATATTTACACCATAGAAAGTAGCAAACACCACCCATCAAAACTTTTTTTTTTTTTACTAGCCCACTCTCTATTGCTATGTTATGCCTATTGCATAATTAACTCAAACCATTTTAATTTAAATGGAGTCTTCTTCCAATGCATTTAATTTCTGCAACATGAAATTAATTTATGAGCATTTGCAGGATAAAAATCCAGGCTGCCCAGTAGGCTATATCCTCTAAGATGTCTGGGCTGAGGCATAAGCTGAGGGAAGTGCCATGCCCGTGTGATATCACCTGGGTTATTCACAACATGGTGTCCCCAAGACTGCAGTGAATTTCTAGCCTCAAAGTGGAATTTCGAGCCTCATCTTGAAGAGGCCTAAGTGGGCCTCTGTTTCTTAATGCATGCAGTGAGGACACTTGCCACATTTAATTTATTATCCTCAAAAAGGCACATACATAGCCACAATATATATGCAGTTTCAATGAGAAAATGTAAAGTGAGTTAAAAATGTTACAAACACATACATGGTTAGAATTCATTTAGCAAGTTGGGGAGAATTATGTGACCTGGATCAAGTGTTCTCATTAGCTTGGGGTTAAGGATGGTGTAAATATGCATACAATGTAAAGCAAAATGAATATACATGTATGTGTTTTTTAACACAGACAGTAAGAGAAAGAGAAAGGAAGAGAGAAAGGAAGAGGGAGAGGGAGGTGATCACTTTGTAGGTGAAAGAAGCTATGCGACAACAACTTGCTGAAACTAACTTTAAAACCAAGTGGCATTGTAGTTGCTCTCAAGGGACTAAGAGGCACGGCAATCACAGATGGAGTGCAAAGCAGCATAAATCCCTTGAGATCTTGCAGGACCTGCTTTGGAATAGAAAAATGAACTTCACTGAATTTTTCTTTCTCTCTCCCCCTTCTATCTGCTCTAATAAATGTGCTTAGGTGCAGTGAAATTATTCCAAGACAGGCAACAGAGTGTAGAGAGATGAAAAATGAAGAGGACCATTGTTAATTAATAAATGGAAAATATACTCTGAGGATTGGCTTTGCATTTAAGATGCATATGCGGGAAAATCACAAGATTCCTAGTAAAATCTCAAAGTGTTAATGTCAGCCTTTTTTGGAAATTTATTTTGCTATCATAATTATTTTATTATTATTTACCTTATCAGAAAAGCAAAATAATATCCAATGACAGCACTATAAATAGGAGATTAAACAGAATTTTGAAGTCTTTTACCAGCTAGCTAAACTATCTGAATGTATCCTAAGCTTACACACGACATTATTTCTATAAACAATAATTCACGAGGCTAATTTTGGTCTATAAGTTCCAATCGAGACAGATATGAGCATCAAGGAAAATGTCTTAACTGCCTAGCATAAATAACAAGTATTGCAGAATTGGGATTTGCTTTCAGAGCTTTGTTTTCTTTAGCAATCACTATAGTGATATATATGATATTCAGAGCATTAGGAAAGGAAACAAACTGCAATAAAATGAAAAGTGGACCCAGTAAGAAGGCTTAGAAATGTTTAATCTGAGTTCTAACACCAACTTGTCATGAGACACATTGACAAGTCATTTAAATTACCTCTGCCACTGTCTCTTAACATATAAAATAAAGATATCTCTATTAAAAGGTCTCTAAGATTCTAAAATTATCTGATGCCCTCATTATTCTGATTTGAAAATGGAAAAAGCTTTCCCAACCAATGTGACATCACTGTGAAGTTAGCTACAAAGCGGGGCAGTGCATCATCTAATCTTACTTTCCACCATCTCTGAGTCATGAAGAGTGTCTGGCAAAGTAGCATAGTATTAATATGAAGGACAAAACTGACAAGATGGGAATTGTAGTAAGTGGCTCACTGTAAAGCAAAGAATGGGAGAAATAATGGTCAATGATCTGATCAGGAACCAGTGTCACAAATGCAGCTCACTCTATGTTGAGAAAACTAACACCAGGTTGAAATTCACTGCATAAGCCCTCCCTGCTCAATGTCATTGTCTGAAACATCGTGAATATCCTTTGTCTAGGAAATTGAAAACATGTATTTACATAGTAATTATAGAGTAATAAAATAGACTAATCAACTACTAAGACTTGAATTAGAAGTATGGTTTTCAGTGGGGTGGGGGGTGAGGGGCACTAGTTTCACCCTAGGGGACATTTGGTAACATCTGGAAGCATTTTTCATTGTCATGCAAGGAGGGTGGTACTGGTATCTGGTGTGTAGATGCCAGGGGTGCTCTCAAATATCCCACAATTCACAGGCTAGCCCTGCGCAACAGTTATCCTTCTCAAAATGTCAGTAGTGCCCAAGGTCAGGAGATCTTGAATTAGGAGAACCTTCTCCAAAATCACCTGACCCAGAGTGCTCCTTCAAATGAGTGAACGTGTTAATTTCCTGACCCTTTAATTAACAGGAAATAGTATACTATTTGCCCTCCTGTAATATTGGCCGTAAGTTAAAAATGAAGTTAAATAGTGAGACTAGTCCAAATACAATTAACGGGGAAACACATTGCTTTGTTTCTACATTGCTACTATGTCTCCCAGGCCCTTTCCAGACACTCCGATGAACTGCCCACCTTAAGAATTACTGATTTAGAGGCATGGAAGGTAAGGACACCGCATGCCATGCTGAGTGAAGTGCATTTGTCAGTCCATATATTATTCTTGTAACCTCCTTGTGTGTTTGCAGAACGCCTCTGCTAAGTGGAAAGGGTGCTGAAAGTAAATTGCGCAGTGATATTTGCTGATGGCATGAACCTTATAGCACAGGAGCAAATTTCCTTTCCAGAAAGGCTTGTTGTTCAGTGTTTGCAGACGCCAGGTTATTCACATTTTCCAGGAACACTGATAACAATGCATGGGTAATGAGATCAACATAAAACTTGAGTGGGAGAGAAATTCAGATGGCCCAATCTTCTAATAATTACCCCAGGTTTGTATCCAAGGCAACACTAAGATTTCTGACATTTAATCTCATATTATACAAGACAAAAAGGATTCTTCCATCCTAAAGTAGAAATTTAAAATAGTATATTTTTAGTTACACAAATATTGAGTTCCTTAGATTATCTAAATTCCATCACAAAATAAAACAAGACTCATAAATATGTCAATACAAACTCCAGGGATATAGACACGTCCAACAATATTTAAAGTAACGTACAATTTTGTTCATGGTAATTTTAGTTTTAAAGAGTCCTTTGGAGTTTACTTAAAATAAAGAATAGATGTGAGGCCCAAAGAAAGGCATGTGGTTACGCCTGGTGCCATGATTACCTCTAATCTGTAAGGTGGAAGTTCTTGGAACAGCGGGTCCCAGCCCTGGCTGTGCAGTAGAATCAGCCAGGGAGGTTTTACAAAATACCCATGCCTCCAGCTCTAGCACCAAGATTCTGATTTAATTGGTGTGCAGTACAGCCCAGGCAGGGGTATTTTTTAAAAACCCTCTAGGTGATTATAATATACAGCTGGGGTTGAAAGCCACTGGCAAACAGAAACTTTTCTAACTAGAGTGTTTTACAGTATCATGAGGCTGTTAATGGAATGCGACTTTTTTCTCTCTCTATTAATGATCTTCTGCCAGCCATTCAGGAAAAAAAAAATGGTTTCTGCTTCGATATATGTCATGTGTATAGACCAGCTTTGAAGAAACATTATCTCTTAATTAGATTCTAACCTTCGGTCCTGCTGTTTCCCTACGCAAAAGGCAATGAATAAAGGGCAAGGGAGAAGGAAAAAGCTAAAGATGCAAGGGTTAAAAACCACATAAATCTTTACCTGTGGGTCAATATTTTGAGAAGTGGTCAACAACATTAGTGAAAGACTTACAAATAAAGATTGTTTGCAATAGTTGCTTATACTTTCTCTTCTAGAATGTAGTGTAAGTGTATTTTAAGCCACTTTAAGCCTTCTGTACAATGAGGAATTCATAATGGTTTTATGATCCAAGGGTGAAGTACATTTTAAATTCAAATATAGACAGAATGGAAAACTCCTAGTTTCTCTTATCATCAATACATTGTCAGTTAATATGGAAAACCCAGTGGTCAAAGTAATTGTAATAACAAACCTCCAGGGACTGCATGAAGGACCCACAGTCTATATAATTTTAAAACATTGTGTGCTCGTGTGTCCCCACAGGGGCACATACGTATATGTGTAAGCACACACTTGATTTATGTCTCATCATTGCTTTATTGTATTATTTATATTACAAATATATTGGTTTACTGTTTATTAGCAAAATGCTTATTTTTACTACTCTAATGAGAATAATTATTTTTGTTCTAAAGACAATAATATGGATGCAAAGGGCTCCACTTTAAAAGTGTCAGTGGTGTTTGTATGACAGGTAATGAGGCAATTTGGCAGAACATCAGAAACTAATTGAGCTCAGCTCACATCAGTGAGGCTTGTTCAGCTGAGGCTGTGCTTCCTAAAAAGAACAGTGGAATTAAATGAGACAATGTGACATGTACAATTTTAATTGGAAGCTCTAATTTAAAATATTTAAAAGCATGTTTAAAACAATTTGTGAATCCATACAGATGCTTCCTTCCCCAACTAATTAAGAATATTCAGTGGGTCATATAATGTCTGGATGTCAAAAATATGAATTATTGACGTCCCTGCACACATAAGTATACTTGCACCTTTAGGCAAGATCAAATTTAGTTTAACAGAGGGAAATGGGAAAGAAACAATCCTCGAGACTGCAGAAGGGTAGGTGATTTTTAATGTGATATTTTGAAAACCATTGCAAGAATCATTAAATTGCACACCTATTTTGCAAAACTGAAATTATATTTAAGCATATTTCAAAATAAGTAATACAAGTAAAACTGGAAATGTAATTTGGAGGTGTTGCAATACATTGCTATTTTGATTTGTTTAGGGTGCTATTGCTCCCCTTTTCATTTGTTGTTTTGTTCTGGGTCTACATAGTAAGACATGATTCTAAAGACAGCAATTTAATAACCCTGAAATCCTTACTATTTCTGATATTGCTTTAAATCTGTGACCATTGAGCATTTAGGAATTCTTTCTATGCTGACTTTTTAAAAAGATAATTTAAGGAAAAAAGAAAAATAATAAATGTTCAATTTTCCTGCTAACATATTCATAATTCAGTAATAAACCATTCGTAAAAAAATAAACTTGTAAAATATGATACCTGCTAACTGAAAGTGTAATCATGTAATCACAGCATATTAATGACTTAGAATGACACTAAAACAACCTTTCTAAAACTGTACTAGCATATCTACTAGTTATTCCGGCAGGCTTAAATGATTTCTTAAGAAAAATTTTATGAATTGAAATGTTTAGTCACATTTTATCATACAATAGTAAATGATATTAACAATGAATAGAGAACAAGATGTTTTTACCATTTTTTAATTTACCTTTTTAATACCATCATAGATTTTCAACTGTTAACAAATGTAATAGAACAGGCTTATGTAACACTAAAAACAGAAGATGTCTTAGAAAAGAAGCAGTGCTTAATAAGTGAAAAAATATTTGGAGAATAGGTAAGAAAGTCAATTGCAATACAAGTAGCAGAATTGAGATGCGGAGAAATGGTTGATATGGAAAAGGCAAAGATAAGAAGTCATTAGCTGGGGTCTGGAAAAGTGAATTAAGGAGACTACAAAATAATGGGAGAAAAATAGGACCTGAAAACTGACAAATTTTAAGTGAAACATTTGTCTCAAAGCTAGTGTCTTGTCTCTTTGCTCTAAAAACTGCAACAATTTCTTACATTATTTTTACATTATATGTTATCCAGGGTCTTTAAACTATCTTGCGGAAATGCAGAATGAAGGCAAACCTGAGTAAAAATGCTGTCCTCAAAGAATAAGACTGAAATCTTATCAACTATATAGATAGACATACATGTATATATGTACATACACATATCACACACAATACACATGCCAGACAGACATCAGGCATGCACACCTACATTGGACATAGATACATACTGTATGCGTACACCTGCATACATACGTAACATACATATGCATATGGAAGCATCAAATATGTCCAAACATCCTGAAGACAGGCACACTGGCTCCAGCTTTTCTACCTCATGTCCTGGTTCTAAACAGTAAAAGAAGTCACTCCACTGATTTAGTCTTTATTCTTTTTGTAAATATAGAGGCTATGCTTAGGCACTGTATGTATCAGCAGACTTGAAAACTAGCCCATTTTATTTCTCCACAAAATATAGCCTACTGTTCTCCCATCCTCAAAAGGAAATGACCAATCCCTACCAGGTTTTAGACTGTTTTTCCAGGTAAGTAGCATGAAAACAGGCAGCACTGTTACCTGCGTGGTTTTTATATTAGCACCGTGTTTTAGAATTAGCCCAGATCCAGGTAATTTTGAAAACAAGTCGACTGGAACTCAGAAAAAACTTCCCTTAACATAAAGTGCTTAATATTTCTTTAATAACTCAAATATTTTTCATATATTCATATATTTCAAATATATTTCATATATTCATATATTTCAAATATTCATATATTCATATATTCATATATTTCTCATATATCATATATTTTTCGTATATTCATATATTATATACTCATATATTCAATCATTACATCTGTTAATCACCTGCACTATTGCCCGTAGTAAAAAAAAACAAATTTAAAGGATAACTGTTTCCTTTTGTGAAGTAGCTTCCAGCCTTCTTTAATGTTTTATAAATAACTATTATTGCATATAACAGTACTCATTTTAAAATAAATTGTATCTAACCAGCATACTTCACTGTAAGGATTCAGAGGATGTAAATAAATGTTGGAAGCGAACCCCTAAATGTATGGACCACTTGCCTGTTATGGTTCCTTATGAGAAATTGCATATCGTTTTCTAAGACAACAAAATCACCTGTTTTACTACTATACAAATTCTCACCATCTGTGTGACTCTCAAACTGATGATACCCTTGTATATATGTATTTATGTAGTTGTTTTTGTGTAAATATATAACGTTTACTTTTACAGATATTATGAAACTTCGAAATACCAGCTGTCTGGTTTTTGTGGTTCAAAGTGATTCAAGAAATTGAAATCAAACGTGGTATGATGATTTCTTGGTAAATGCTGTTTCACTATCACATTCTGATATGTTTCAATATGTTCTTATCCGCAAAATGTGCTTTTAAAGTCAGATAAACATAATTCTTCTGTATGTTAAGGGGCTTGTGATTCAGGTATGGGGAAAGGGAAAAATGCCGTAATTGGAAGTTTCTCGCAAAACTGTTTGCTAGTGTAGTTCCACAGAGTCAACCGTATATTCTTGAGAGGAATCATGCAAACTGTATTATCAATAGTATTTGTTTCCCATAAAAATAATTATGTAATCCCTAAGTGTTTCATTTTTATGAAGTAGAAATACCTATGTTAAAATCTCTTAGGTTTTGACACTCCTCAAAGCATACTTTGTAGTTCTTCCTAGACTCAACACTACCAATTAAATCATAAACTCCCAAACATGACTTGTTTTTTAGTTTTTCTAAAGATGTATAGATAGACAATGCTTCAGACCTGTTTATTATATATTTATAAACACATATTTCTGAAAGCTTATTATTGAAAATCAATCATCAAATTTTTATGTAAAATATGTATTTTATAATGTTAGGATACACAATTTTATGATGTGAGTTCATTTTCTTACAACCTATTATAATTCAGCCAGATATGCTGTTTCCTTACTTTTGCATTTAAACTACTAGTTTAATTTTTCTAAATTGAAGACAAATGTGCTATTTTAAATGCGCAAATGAAACTGTTAGCCTTCAGCCAAAAATTCTCAGGAGCCAATAGGAACCCAGATCAGCTAGCATTTACTCGTAGGATACACTGGTTAAAGCTGACGTGATTTAAAAATATAATGAAGATATTTTAACTACATCAGAACTATTTCATTACAAACTCAAAAACTTGTGGTGACTAGCTGCAGATTTATGACAGTATATAAATACAACCCCAACTTGGCAAATACTAACTTTTCCAGCAAAGTCATCGGTGTTAGAGACTATAAAGTGTTTCCAGTGAAAGATGATTTGTGTCAGCTAAAACTGTAGCCTGGAGCTACACTTGATATGTTATTACTTTAATCTAGTTATTGCAGCCTTGAAGTGTGTGTTAGCAAGTCCAGGGAAGAAATGTCAAAAGCTCAACCTAGCCTGATTATTAAACATTTCTCGGAATAGCCACACACACATACACACAAAGCTCATATATTCCTCATTTAGTTGTTTATTTTGCAATATATTGACTTTGTATTTGTGAATTAATATTATCGAATATACAAGAATGTTTGGAATTGACCATAGTGTAATACAGACTTTCATAATTGAGCCTTTGAGATTTTATCCATACATATGCCAGTAAAGTGATAGTTATATAGATTAACTTTTTCAATCAAATACACCCAACGCACTAAAATGAGAAGAAATATAACATTATTCTGATGGCCTGTGCTGTGGATTGCTAATTATAAAACTACTCTTCTTTACATAAATGTTGGTATATATATATATATATATATATATATATATATATATATATATATAGTTGCAGATAATTCTAAGAAAAATGTTGTTTTAAAATGCATCCATAACAAAATGGTGAAATATCATAGGTGACTATTAGAAATGATAGTCACTGATATTTCTCTATTTTGTTATGGCTGCATTTTATAATAATATGAAATGATAGTCATATACTATCATATTTTAATAATAAAATATTATAAGGAAGTCTGGTATTTTTTAAAGTTTAGTATTATTTTAGCAACTAAATGTGAGTTTATCCTTGTTCTGCTGATAAAGGGAAAGAAATTCATAATGTTTAGATATTTCTATCATAACTTAAGAATGCATTCATTTAAAAATTCATAAAGGATAGGGAAATCTTGTTTAATGTTTGAATTATAAATGGCATAATATATTTCCTATTTGTGCTGTATTTTTGCTCAAGGTATTATTAAATGATTTTAAGTTTCACTTAATAAAAATTAATTGTAATAGCTAAGTTATTTTAAACCAGTTGTATTTTTAACTCTGAAAAATAATTTGCTATTTTGAAAAAATCATCCAAATTAGAAAAGAATAAACCTAGTTTGCATATGCAAATATGTTGATATATTAATTTCATTATATTTCTGTACATATAGCATTTTATATTATAAAATAAACTGAACATTTTTCGTAAGAAACAAGTAATTAAATATATTATAAATTAATGTTCAAATAAAATTCAAATGTAAATGCATTGACTCTCATAAGCACTTTGTCAACTATACATAGTTATTATATCATGCTAAAGTTACAGTTAAGGTGATAATTGTCTCATTCTGAGATTTTAGTCTGATGGTTATTATATTAATACACTAGTAAGCAAGAAGGCTTATGGAATCATAATTATACAAATATATTAACACAGAAGGTTTAATGTAAGATATTAAACATTTAACAAATAATGCTTATATATGAAAAATTAAACAATGAATAAAATTACATATAACTTAAGAACATGTAGAGTATTAATTATTACATGCATATCCTTGAGAAAATAAAATAGTATGTCTATCTGAAAAATCCCACATGGTACTTTTGAGCTGTACTGTTATATTTAGCATGATAAGTAAATAACATTTTCATTTAAATGAAGAAAAGAAACTTTGCAGCGATAAATATGTTTGGGAGCAATGGAATGACAGAATAGTCATGAACATCACTGCCTACACGATTCTTAGTTAATTTATTCTCACTCTTTCTATTATAGTCAATAACAAAAAAAATGTTTAAGCCTACCTATCAACTGCTTCATGAAGGGTTCGTTACATACTTAGCGTTCTGCTGTTCCATATTTTATTCGTAGCAAGGATTCTATGAGGTACTCTAACCTGAGGGGAGACACCTGGTGGGTTTAATTAGATTGCATCTGGCAGTAATTAGAAGCAAAGTGTAAAAGTTGAAGCATCTGTAATAGTTCAGGTGACTTCAATTTTTGCATTGAGACAATCCAGGAGAAAAGATTCCTGACCCTGGGAAGACGAAGAACTCATAGAAAGATTTTGAGTACAGAGAGATCCAAACAATGAATTAAGAACTTTAAACAGTATTTATCAACCAAAAGGGTTCTGCAGTGATTAAAATCCATGGGAAGCAAGATTAACTCTACTAGCAAACATTTTGAGAATTCCTTTATAAGGTTGGATGCTGCCTGGGTAGATGGGGAGTTGGGAGGGGATGGTGCGCATCTGGGAAAAGACTATTTTTGAATTTTGTTTTCTTCAATGCTAGCTACTTAAATAAGCACCAAGAACAAGTCAGAATTTAGAGTGCCCCATCCACCTTAATCATATTAGATGTGCCATTGCTGAACTTTGTAGCGGCATCTGTTGACACAGAGCAGAAATTTAAATGTTATATGCATACAACCTTTTGATATCAGGGAGAGTCTGCGTCATATATAAATTCTGTAATGATCTGGTGCAGTTCACAGCATTTGGGGGAAGTTCAGGGTAGATAAAATGTAGAGGTCTGGGGTTTGCTTTGTTTATATATATATATTTTTTGGTGTTTGTAGAGATGGGGTCTCACTATGTTGTCCAGGCTGATCTCCAACTTCTGGCATCAAGTGATTCTCCCACCTCAGTCTCCCAAAGTGCTGGGATTACAGGTGTGAGGCACCTCACGTGGACCTTTAATTTTTAAAATATTCTTACTCATATCTTAAGCAATAATAAAATGTCTAAGTGGCTTTTTCCCCACATCATTCTTGCCTTTGCTAACTCTTGATTTACATTCTGATGTGAAATTGTTATTCCTATCAAATGGACCTGTTGAGATGGGCATGGTAATTTGGTTTCTTTGTTGTTACTATTACTTTATATTTGAGTAGGCATGTGTTAGATCCCTTTGAGTGAAAAGTTCTGATATACTAAATGAGAAAGCATCATTATCATCATCAACATCTTTCTCTCTCTTTCTTTCTCTTATACACACACACACACACACACACACACACACACAGAGAAGACTGCTTGTACTATCTTGTTTACATATGAATTATTTCTAAAGCCAATAATGTTCAAATAAAATCACTTTTTCTACATATGTAGTTGGAATTTCCCTCCAACAACAACCTTTTATAGATGACTCAAATTTTACCAAATCAAATCCTTTAATGAAATATCCCATGTATTAATGTTCCTGTAGATCAGTCATATATAGCTCAAAAGATCACTCGATTTGTTTGCATTCTAGATTATTTCAGAAAACGTTGGAAGGAATTTTGTAGAATGAAAATTAATGTAATAATCTGAGCATTTCCATGAATCCAAAACATGACACAAGTCAAAGTTCCCTAGATCAGCACCATCTAATTGGCGTTCTGCAATAATAGGAATATTCCCTAGCACTGTCCAGTATGGTATCCACTTGCCCTGTGTAGACGTTGACCACTTGAAATGCAGCTAGTGTGACTAAAGAACTGTATTTGTGGTTTTATTTCATTTTGACTAATTAGAACTTAAATAGCTACATGTGGCTAGTGGCTATCATATTGGCAAAGGACCTAATCCTTGATTTGAATATTACAAAGTAGACCCTGATGCAAGCACCTGGTGGTGCCTCAGAATCATAAAGGAAGTCAGAGTATCATGGGATCATTGTTTGTTCCATGCCTGTGTATCTTCTTTACTTTTTTCATTTTCATTCTAAGCCCCTGAAAACAGGAGCAAGGCCTCATCATTTTTTGTGCATTCAATAAATACTGTCTAAATTGAATTTTTTAAAGTTGGATGAAAAAGAGGATATTCAGAGGAAAATGTGTTGCTTGGATAATAAAGAGCATAGAGTGGAAAAAAATGACAGAAATGCAGAGTAATTCAGAACAATAAGAAGCAAGGTTTGCAAGGCCAGAGGTTTTTCGGAGTGGTTTCTTTTTATCACAAAGTGAGAGAATTTGCATCCTGCCATGCCCTTGTAACAGAAGAAGGCAGGAGGATTTGCACAGTGGAGAAGTCTGAGTTTGGGATCAGTGTCAGGCATAGTGGCACACGGCAGCTATGCCTGGAGAGCCAAGCAGAGGGTTTCTCCGAACCCAGCCCTGCCCCCGCCCGGCTCCTCGCCTGGGCTGGAGTGGGAGGTAGACACACTACCTGGAAAGGCCTGGCTTGCTCCTCGGGTTTTTGAAACTACGCCTGGTTGACACGCAAGGAAAGTCTGAACCCATTCTGGGTAATGTTTTGGAGAATAAAAAAATATACTGTAATTTAGATCACTAGTAGCCTTTATTATTTTTATCATTATGGTTTTTATTTTGCTGGTTTTTACAAGCTACAAGCGATGCTTTACAGATTTTTTTAAAAGATTAAAAAATAAGGCCGGGCATGGTGGCTCACGCCTGTAATCCCAGCACTTTGGGAGGCAGAGGCGGGCGGATCACGAGGTCAGGAGATTGAGACCATCCTGGATAACACGGTGAAACCCCGTCTCTACTAAAAATACAAAAAATTAGCCGGGCGTGGTGGCGGGCGCCTGTAGTCCCAGCTACTCGGGAGGCTGAGGCAGGAGAATGGCGTGAACCCGGGAGGCGGAGCTTGCAGTGAGCCGAGATCGCGCCACTGCACTCCAGCCTGGGCGACAGAGCGAGACTCCGTCTCAAAAATAAATAAATTAATTAATTAAAAAATAAAACTAAACCTCATATATTTTGAGCACGTACTACCTGCCAATCACTATGCTTAATGTTTGTAAAGGATTGGCTCCTGTCATCCACAAAAGAACCCAGTATGTGGGGACTCCTATGTCCCTCTTGTGATAAATGAGAAAACTGTAGCTGACAGGTTTTAAATAACTTGCCCACATCTACTCGGTGAAGAACCAGCGCCCAGGTTGTCTTGACTCCAGCAAGTGGGCACAATTACGATGCTATTCTGTTTCTCAAAGGAGGAGACTTGGCTTAGATTGCCATTTTACAGAGCAAAGTTGTGGTTTTCATTTGACCACATGTGGAGTCAGAGTCTGAATTTGAAAAATAAGCTAAAGGAACCTTTTTAAAAAACTATAATTTCTTTAAGAAATCTGTGCATTGGAACCCATGCTATATCACTTGGCTTGATCCTGTCACTCTTCTTTTGAAACAGCTTCATTTCAAATCACAGATCTGATGTGTCTACAGAATCCTCTGGGATGGCACACACATTCGAAACAGCAAGTTTGTCATTAAACTCTAGCTAACTGTCCTTAATTCTCAGATTTTGCTTGAAAAAATAGTACTGACCTTTACTGCTAAATTTGGAAAGAGTATTAAAATAAAGATTGACTTGTTTCATGAAAAGTATTTTAAATTAAAAAAATCTTAAAGCATAAATTAGGGATATCCTGCTTCTCCATTCAGTCACGCTATACCTAGGCCATCCGTCCATCACCTTAGAAAATAAAGTCCATTGGAAGAGTGGAAAGTACAATATCCCAGGTGGTGCGAGGGTTCAGCCATCACCAAATGCACATTCTGACGTTCCACTGTCAGAGAAGCTCATTACTTAATCAAACTGCACCAAAAGTTGCATTTTTATTTTATTTTTCTGATCAATCGCAAGCCTCCTACTTAAAAGTTGTGAAATAGCTTATCAAGTCGTATAATTATGCTCCTAAGAAATGGAAGATTTCTTTAGATCATCCTGTCCAGTTTTTTCATTTTGCAGATGCCAAAGAAGTGGAGACTCAAAGAGGTGAAGCAACAGAGCTCGCAAGCAGGTGCCAGGATCAGGACTGGAACTGAGTCCTGAGCCTGGACTCTCACTTTGCGGGGCAAGGGTGTGGTCTCTGTCTCCCCCTGAAGCTTTTCCCAAGTGATTTCTCTCTTCTGTGGGGTACTATTTCCTTGAATGTGGTTAGGATTTTAAAAAAGGATTCCCAAGAATTCTAATTGTCTAAATTGTTTCTAAAATGTAAAATGTTAAAATCATTAAATTATAATATTTAAAGTTAAAATGTATTTTTATTTTTGAAAACTATTTTAAAGATTTTCTTGGCTGAACGCGGTGGCTCACGCCTGTAATCCCAGCACTTTGGGAGGCCAGGGCAGGTGGATCACCTGAGTTCAGGAGATCGAGACCAGCTTGGCTAACGTGATGAAACCCTGTCTCTACTAAAAATATAAAAAGTTAGTTGGGTGTGGTGGTGGGAATCTGTAATCCCAGCTACTCGGGAGGCTGAGGCAGGAGAACTGCTTGAACCCAGGAGGTGGAGGTTGCAGTGAGCCAAGATCGCACCACTGTACTCCAGCCTGGGCGACAGAGCAAGACTCCGTCTCAAACAATTAAAAAAAAAAAAAGATAAAAAATAAAAAAAAAGATTTTCTTATAATGGAGCTAATCATCTTGTAGTATTTTTCACAAAATTTAATTTGACAATGTGTGGCCTGATTCACTGATTTAAAAGCATTTTAAAAGTTTGGCCAATTTAATGACTGAAAAAATAATGATATTTATTTAAACATGTAAATTCTTTACACTTTTTGAAGTATTGCTTCATGCAGAGATTTTAAAGTGTTTCAGATAATCTGCGTTTGGTTACCCCAATAAAAAACGAATTTATTGGAGTAAAAAAAAAGTTTTTTCTATCATTGTTAAATAATTAGAATATTACTCTTCCTCCAGAGTTTATCACAAGGAAATATATTGCAAACTATCAAAATAAGGTTGATAGCAGAGATCATTGCACATCAGTAAGATTTACTGCCCTGTCTTTCTTTCTTCTTCTTTTTTTTTTTTTTTTTTTGAGACGCAGTCTCGCTCTGTTGACCAGGCTAGAGTGCAGTGGCATAATCTCTGTTCACTGCAACCTCTGCCTCCCAAGTTCAAGTGATTCTCCTGCCTCAGACTAATGAGAAGCTGTATTACAGGCAAGTGTCACCACACCCAGCTAATTTTTGTATTTTTAGTAGAGACAGGGTTTCACCATGTTGACCAAGCTGGTCTGAAACTCCTGACCTCAAGTGACCCACCCCCGCTCAGCCTCCTGAAGTGCTGGGATTATAGGCCTGAGCTACAAGACCCTGCAGCTGCCATTTATTTTCTGCTTGGACAGCAATGTGACCTTCGCGGCGTGGAGTCTGTTTCCAACTGGCAGGACCACAGTGAGGATCCCTTGTGAATGATATAGGGGGTAAACAGGCACACAAAAAGATGCTCATTTACTGGGACTTATTATTATTCTTCCATCAATGTGGAAATTTCAACTGTAAAGAGTTTATATTTATTCATACTTCCTTTCTTGTATGGTCTTTTTACCTAAGTCAGAAGGATCAATCTGCCATCTCCAGAATTAAGAAAGAGGGAATGCAAAGTGAAAGCAAAAATCAACATCTGATTTTGTCCTCCATAAGTCTTATTGCCCATTTTGGAAACAATCTTTTTTGAAAGTCAGATTTTCCATTATAAGAGCTAGTCACTCAAGGCAGATATTTCAAAAGCATCTCTTTATACATTGAGGCCGAGAAACTGGTGGGATGAGACCTGGAGTATTATGGTATTATAGAATGGAGGGTTAGGCAACTGCCTACTTTACAGGAAACAACAATAAAAAAAATCTTTCCTGGGAAAAGGAAAAATCTAAATAGAAGAGAGTGAGATGTTTGATCCAGTCTATAACACTTCAGCTGAACCTCCAAGAGAGTGATACAAAGGCCTATAGCAGGGTAAGATGCAGGATCCACAGGGAAGGCAAGGGCACCTGCACTACTTGGCTTCCTTTGCTTTGGTTCTTGGGTATGAAGCAGAAGAAGGATTTTCAAATTCTTGAAAAACTGCCGATACCTTGTTGGTGTGTGTCCACTTGGTTTTAGGTAGGTGTAAAACATCCTTCAGGCAATTGGATGAGATTTCATTTCATGTACACTTATTAACTGGCATTAAAAAACAGGTTAAAATGTAAAAGGTTGTTCAGTCATCATGCACTGTGCTCTTGATGCAGTGGGGATAGCTCCACCTCTGGTTTAATTCAGGTATAATATTAACTTGGAGAAGAATCGTGATTGAGTACTATTTTGCCTCCTATAGCAGCGTCTGTGTTGTCACAGATAAATAGTGTGAAGAGATTATTTGATTTAATGATTTAGCCCATATGGATTTTCCAGCAGTCAGTATGTAAGATACAGGAGGACACTTTTCCTGCCCGCAAGGATCTTGCTGTCTGGTGAGGGAGAAAGATACATAAATGCACAATTGCAATACAAGTAATGTGAGTTATAACAGATATAAGTGTAAAATGCTGTAAGAGTAGAGAGAGGCAGCCGGGTGCCGTGGTTCATGCCTGTAATCCCAGCACTTTGGGAGGCCAAGGTGGGCAGATCATGAGGTCAAGAGGTAGAGACGAACCTGGCCAACGCGGTGAAACCCTGTCTCTACTAAAAATACAAAAATTAGCTGGACGTGGTAGTGCGCGTCTGTAGCCCCAGCTACTCGCTGAGGCAGGAGAATCGCTTGAACCCAGGAAGCGGAGGTTGCAGTGAGCCGAGATTGCACCACTGCACTCCAGCCTGGCGACAGAGGGAGACTCCGTCTCAGAAAAAAAAAAAAAAAAAAAAAAAAGACTAGAGAGAAGCAATTACTTTCTCTGCCCGGGGAAGAGGAGAGCTATCCCGAGGGAAGTGACTTTTGAAATAAGGCTGGAAGGTGTAATGTGACTGTATCACAGACTCAGCAAATTTTGAGATGTGGCCTTGCTGTTTACTTAAGATCTACATTCAGGAAGAAATGAAGGGAGTGGAGCAGAATGAAGGGGTTGTTATACCTCAGCTCTTAAGACAGCAATTTTATAGTTTCTTTTAAACATGGGTGTATCACTCAAGAACTCCCCTTACCTTCAGTTTCCAAGAATCATTTTGGGATCCACAGGAAATTGAGGCTCTCAGACTCAGGAGTAAATGTATTTCAAAAGAATGATGGCATATATTTGAGAAGTGATTCAAGAACACATGTGTAAATGGGGTAATAACACTAAAATGATAAAATATGGCCTTGTAAGAAGATTAAAATATACAATTTAAAATCAAGAGAGGACATAGAAAACAAAATAACATTTACATGAAAAGGAGATTCAGATATACAGAGTAGCAAAATATTACAGATTTTAGTTGTTGTTTTACGTTTGAAGTTTTATCTTTTACATTGTGAAAATATTGTTTTAATTATAGGGCAATGGATACCTTCAGCAAAGGTCAATACATTGCCCCTAAATTAAAAGTAAAGGAAAGGTTTACCAAAACAATGACAGCATGCCTGTAGACTTGACATTAGGGAAAAGCTTGAAATTACACGTGTCTAAATATAAGGTACACGTTTCCTTAACATTTGCAATAATGGAAACAGTAGAGTGGCAATGATAACATTGCCATTTAGGTGTTCACTGAATGTTTATTAATGTCCATATTTATGTGACATTAGGCTGACACATTTATACACACTGAAAGTATTAATCATTTTATTAAAATAAAGACAACTTTGTATTACATAATCACATAAAATCATCTTCTAAGTATCATACAGCAGAACGTATATATGAAATCTCTAACCTGAAAAAATTATCAGTTGTCTCGCTCCAATATCAATTACAATAAAATTACAAAGTAATGCTTTTTCCCAAGGTGGGATGGAAAGAGGTGGACCAGGCAGGGATGCATGGGCAGCAGCTTTAAACGTTCTGTGAATGGTGCCTCTTGTACACGGCAATTGCTCAAAGGATAAAGGAAATTTGTGTTCAGCCAGGGTATGTGGTTAAAATTTGAATACAGTTATCTGCAAACTAATCTCTTCTGCCACAGTAGTAGAACTAAAGAAAAACTGGTACGTGAGGATGTGAGGCTATTTCTAAAAGGCCTGCAGAAATGATCTTGGTGGCTGGGCAGCTGAAAGTCCAAAGCTTCAGGGCTTCTGAGAGCTTTGCAGTCAGCCTGAGTTAGGTCATCTCTGTTCCTTGATAAATGAATAACTCTTCCATTGCCTGGGATACAATTAAAGTACTGGCAGACAAACCTCAGACTTTACCTGGCTGAATGATCACGTTCAAAATGGGATATGTTATGTTTTTCATTAGATCGTTTCCATTTTCTAAACTTTTTCATTTTCCACCTATAAAAGCATTCAGGCTGGAAACTTCATCTTGAATACATCAGTTTCACCACTGTATCGAGAAAGATGCAGGTTTATATTTTTAAGACCCAGTTGAATTAATCGCTCAACTCTCGTTCAAATTTCCATCAGCACCTAGTCCAACACTGGCTCTCCAATGCAATAATGAAAATATCGGAGTGCTATGAAGACACCATCCCGCAGCCTTTTTAGTCTCCATATTGGATCTTCTGTCAAAATAGGAGATGTTGTTCAGCATATTGATGGTAAATTTGGTATAGGACCACAACAGAAATTGTCTGTTTGCCTCTTCGTGAGACGTTCCTGCCAATCACAGTTTAATTCAGCAGTACCTGTACAGTGTGTCGGCAGGGATTTTTAGAAGGTCAGAAGGCCAAAAACTATTAATTGATTATTCTGCTTACTGTAGCTAATTCTGGATTTGCACTGTCAACAGAAAGCTGATAAAATCTTCTTGGGTTCTGAAGAACAATGCTCTCGGGCACCCAGCGGAATTTCATGCAATATCCAGGAGCTGGCCTGTTCAGCTGCAGCATGTAGTTAGATGGAGTTCTTATTTTCTTTTCTGTTACGCACACTGCAGTAGGGAGCCTCATAGAGCTTTATTTTTGTCAATCTTTTCTGAAGAAACTTTCTCAGGACCGCAAAAATATGAGTTATATTTTGACCAAAAACGAGGCAAGGTGTAATATAGAATCCAAGGAGAAATCTGACTTATAAAATTCTGTGATTTTTTTCTTTAATGAAATCAGATGAGAGTCAGTGACTTTCAGACTTTAAGAAAAGAAAAAGTAATTCTTATTAGATTAATATTTAATTTTCATTAAACATACACCCTACAAATCGTTTTGTGTATTATTTTTATATATGATAGGATTTTCAACAAAGTTATTAAATAAACATTAGGCAGTGTTTTCCAAGAATACAATTCTGTGTCTGCCTTCTTGTGGAATTGGACTCTGACAAGGTAAAGGAAAATTCTACAAGACCTGGGAAACACATGCATTGGAGCTTATCTTTTAAGTTATCTGGGGTATGTACTTATTGGAAGTGCATATATATAGTATGACTGCATTTTATGCAGTGACTAAAACCTGGAGAAATTGTTTAGCTGTGTTACTTTATTGACATCATGTCAGTCAGTATCTAGGCTCATAGCAATTTTTACATGTGGAAGGGAAAGGACTTACTGATAAAGTCAGGCCTCCATCATTTTGAGAGTGGTGAAAACGGAGCTTTTACCGCGATGTGCCAAGGTCACATATGTAGTTTTCTGAAGATCTGGAACCAGATGCCAGATGTCCAGGCTTCCTGTCTTTTCTCTATAAACTGTAACAGATGTTTCCTATCTTTAAAATATTGGAATACTTATACAAAATTATATGTTCATCCAAATAAAAGTTCTTAAATTATGAACTTAACTTATCCTTGTTAAATACCCTTCTGTCAGTTTCTGCCTGTCACTCAATCTGCCAAGATCTTCCTGAATCCTGACATTCTCATCCAGTGCATTAATTGTCTTGGTGCATAGAGACACTGAGCTGTTATATTTATCTTCTTTTTTCCTTTAGGCATAATTATTGTTACTTCCTAGATCCTGGTAATTACAATAACTGCAACAATGGGGATGAGTTGTTGTTTCCTCCCTTTCTCCTCTCTGAACTTTATCCTTATTCAGTAAACAATCTGCTTTGATGGCTGACTTAACCTCATCTCCCTTTTCACATAGATACATCAAGTTAGAATACTGTCTGAAAAACAGTTCTCTGTTTGAAGAAAATCAAGCAGGTTAGTATTGACCTTCAAGTGCTATTGGAATGAGATGTTGACCCAGAGTTGGAGTTTATCAGAAGTGTTATATAAAGTATAAAGGAAAACAAAAAAGACCACCTTTGAGTTTTGTTTTATTTTATTTTATTGCTAAACAAGCTGTGTAGAAATACACAGAATTGCAGAATACATTATTATGTAATTTCGAATTTATGGCTTATAATGTGTGTAAATTATCTCAAGGTTTTAATGACCCCAAGTCAAAAAGAAAACATACTTTCAGAGAAATGTAATTCTAACGTGACCACATTCCACTGACAAAATGATCTCAGTAATGCACTCTAAATGAGTCTCTACCTCAGATGCATATGTAAAATAAAAGCAGTCTGGGCATGGTGGCTCATGCCTGAAACCCCAGTGCTTTGGGAGGCCAAGGTGGGAGGATTCTTGAGGCCAGGAATTTGAGACCAAGCTGGGCAACATAGTGAGACCCCCATCTCCACAAATAATTTTAAAATTTAGCAGGGTGTGGTGGTGCATGCCTGTAGTCACAGCTACTTGAGAGTTTGAGGTGGGAGGATTGCTTGAGTTTAGGTCAAGAGCTGTGATCATGGCACTGCACTCCAGCCTGACAGCGTGAGACCTTGTCTAAAAAAAAAAAAGAAAAAAAAGAAAAAAAAGGTAAAAGCATAAGTATTTGTCAGCAGGTAGAAGAAACATCTACCTATGCAGCTGGTTAATGCTTCAGTTAACAACCAGCAATTCAGAGTGATGGCAAATAGCTTCCTTGTACTTCCTTGTCTAATGTAAGCTTATCTCTACTGGCAGTGGTTACCAGGAGTACTCTACTGGGAAGGACTCTGTGGTTGCACTTGAGTTCAAGGGAAGGTCACCACACTTGTTACTGATGACTTCAACAAACACAAGATAGTGACAAGATATGATATCTAATAGGTGTCTGGAACTCTACATAGCCAAATCTCAAGTCTTGCTTTTCTCTGATCTCACTCCAAACCTAAACTTGTTCCTTGCAGCTTTCCCAGTCATCTTTAAGACAGTCCTATTGGCTCTTACTAAAAATAATATCCAGAATCCAAACACTTCTCATCACCTTGTGCTACCCTAGACTAAGCCATCATCATGTCTCACCAGGATTAACAACATTACCTTCTAACTAGTCTCCATCTTTCCCTGTTTCTTTATTCTAAAATCCACTTTCAATACAGCACCCAAACTGACCCCTATATAATGAGGAGACCCTGCCATTATTAGACCATGTCATTCCTGCAGTCAAGCACTCCTGGTGGCTCATGTGTCCATTAGAGTCAAAGTCAAAGTTCTTATGAAGGCAGGTGAGACCATGATTTTCCAGCTCCCATCCCTATCTTGGCTCTTCTTCCTTATTCTGCTTTAAACTCACTGGGTTTAAAGCCTTTGTGCCGATTATTTTCTTTGCCTGCCAAAGTCTTCTCTATTGTCTCTGTTGTGTTCATATAATTAACGCCCCCTACTTCCATCCCCTCATTGATCAAATGTCTTTTTGCCAACAATGTCAGTCTTGACAATTTTATTTAAAATTACAGCTTTGCTCCCATTCTCCTTCGCCTGTGCTACTACTCTCTTAAATTGTGCTATTTTCCAAACACTTAATTTCTAACATTCTATATAATTTATTATTTATTGTGCTTATTACATTTTGTCTCTTTCATCTAGACTGAGCCACGGAACAGTGTTTTCTAATAATTCCCACAGGTCCTAAGAAGTACCTGGCACATCCTAGGCATCCATCAACTATTTTGTTAAGAATGTCATCATTGATAGAGACTCCAAAGAGAAGCCCCATATCTTCTCAGTGATTAAAGAGGTTATTAAACTTACAAAGCATGTTTTATATAACGATTCAAATAGAAAATAGCTAAAACATCCATGTCAGCCTTAGGAAAATTAGAGAAGGGTTAACTATATCCATGGCACCATCTACCCTACACCTTACCAGACTTGGCAGAGTTGGTAAATAATGGACTTTACACTTTTGAAAACTGTTACCCTATTTGAGCTCTTTCTTTCTCTGGAGGCAGTGGAAGTATTGTAGATGGAACACAGGGATGACGTTAGATAAACTTATATTCAATTCCTTGCTCATCATTTACCAGTTATACCTCCTTTAGCAAGGAGATATAATTGGTCCTAGTGACTCTACCATGAATATCTATGTTCTCATGTGGAAAATGGAATTGATCATGAATTCTTATATTGTAATGAAGATGGAATGAGAAAAGAATTAAAGCACACATAGTACTGTGCTTGATTATAATAAATACTTAATAGACAACTATTATTTGTAAGAAATTAAGACACTTAGATAAAATTCACAGTTTTAAAGGCATTTGATAACATGCTATCTCATCTGATCATCTGAATGTGGCTGTGAGTTAGAGTTTGCCTAAATCTGTGACTTTAATAGCCTTTGTGCCTCAAGTCAGTGACTTGAGGTAATTTAAAATATATTAAAAGCAGGGTCATTAAATATGTGGTAGCCTAGATAATACGTAATTTTTTAATTAAACACACATAGGTTCTTAAACTATTGTATTATGAAAATAAACATATTAAAATGATTATTTTCTGTACTGTTTTTTAAAGAATGGAAATCAACATACATTAAGAATATGAACCGTGGCCGAGTGCGGTGGCTCATGGCTGTAATCCCAACACTTTGGGAGGCCGAGGTGGGTGGATCACTTGAGGTCAGGAGTTTGAGACCAGCCTGGCCAATGTGACAAAATCCTGTCTCTACTAAAAATACAAAAATTAGCTGGGTGGGGTTACGTGTGCCTGTAATTCCAGCTACTTGGGAGGCGGAGGCAGGAGAACTGCTTAAACAGGGGAGGTGGAGGAGGCTGCAGTGAGCTGAGATGACACCACTGTTCCCCAGCCTGGGTGACAGAGTGAGACTCCATCTCAAAAAATAATATATGAATCCTAATAATTCCTTTATGAATTATTACAACTTCTCAAACTAGTGGTAAGGGAAGAGTTTCCTAAGCCCATCCATAGGTGAGAGGATTAAAGAGTACCAGTTGCAGGTAGGAGATGAATCAGACAGTCTGGAATCATCACATGTGGGCAGCCAGCACTGCTGTAATATTATTGACAAGTAGGTAAAGAAGTTCAATTCTGAGTTGAGTCTATATCATTAATTCAGTATGCAGGTTGCATGTCATTTCTCTCAAATGTGAAGGTTAAGTCTTATGGATTGGTTATTAGTGAAAAAAGTGGCAAATGTGTCATTCTTTTTTTTAATGACCTCTTAGGATCACTATTTTATTTATTTATTTATTTATTTATTTATTTATTTATTTATTTTAAAGTGGAGTGTCACTCTGTCACCCAGGCTAGAGTGTAGTGGCACGATCTCGGCTCACTGCAACCTCCGCCTCCTGAGTTCAAGCAATTCTCCTGCCTCAGCCTCCTGAGTAGCTGGAATTACAGGCACCCACCACTATGCCTGGCTAATTTTTGTATTTTTAGTAGAGACGGGGTTTCACCATGTTGGCCAGGCTGGTCTCAAACTCCTGACCTCAAGTGATCCACCCACCTCGGGCTCCCAAAGTGCTGGGATTACAGGCGTGAGCCACCATGCCTGGCCTAAATGTGTCGTTCTTTATAAGAGATGATAAGGCGAAGCTGTAGTCTTACCCATGTAGTCAAGCCCTTCTAACCCAAGGGGAATGCAGGAAATAAATATGCTCGGGCTGGGCCCTTTCTGTACAGCCAAGTCTATTGCTCTTCTTCTGGTCAAGTAATCCTATCGAAACCAAAGGTTGTTAGTATGGTATGGCATTTTAGTAAGACCTTACTGATCTTCATCACATTGCTTCTCATAATGCATAATACTATTTTTATTTAAATTTCTTCTTATTCCTTTCTATCAGGAATAGTGACAAAATTAGGAATAAGAAAGGTCATAATGTGTATGCACCTTAATAAAAACAAAATAAGGAACTCTATTAATTATTATAAGGTTCAATTTTTGACGTATTAGATTTTTTTCCATTGGTCTAATTGTAAAATTAGGATTCTCTGCTGTTTTTGCTGATCTCTAGAACATATATTGTAATTTTTAAAAACAGCCTTCATGAAAGAAGCTTAAGTATGTGCTAAAAATTTCTGTGTGACTGTTTTCGGGAGTCCATTTTGAAATATGCAAGAATTTAAATGTTTCTACTTAATTATCATCAGAATATAAAACATCAAAGCTGTAGGTAAATCTTAGGGCTATATTTTGATGAGAATTTTATTATCAGTAGAGTATGTTTATAAACATAGTATCAACAGAGGAAAGGCAAGGAATCTATGTTTAATAATATGACAAATGACACAGGTAAAAATTATTTTGATATAATACGTACATTTCTCAAAGTTCTATCAAACATCATTTGTTTAGAAGGCTCACTTATGTGACTACTGGTTTCCTTCTGTATTAATAGAATAAAATTTTCCTACTTGAAATTACTTCATGTAAACCTAGAAAGGAAAGAACATTGTTCTTGAAAAATTGGACAAAGTGACAGTAGTTTGGCATTTTTAATGATGTGTATGAGACAATAAAAACTTTAAGTTGATATTTTCTATTTTATTCTCTTAATCATTTGCTTTTTAATTCATTCATTCAACAACTATTTATGTAATGCCTGCCATATGCCAGGTATTGTTTTGGGCAATGAAGATACCACAAAACACAGGAAAAACAGCCGTGTTTTTGTGGAACTTTCATTCTAGTGAGTAACACAGACAATGAATAAGTGTAAGCCTATAAATAAGAAATAAAACATACTGAGTGCTTAGTAATACAAAGAAAAAGAAAGTTGGTTAAAGGGATAGGAAATGTTGGGAATACATTTTGGAGTCAGGAAAGTCCTCTCTGATAAATGTTATAAAGTATGTGAAAGGGATTGCTCTTAACGAATCTGAAAGAAAGATCTTGAGAAGGAGGAAAGCCTTTTGGAGAAACTAAAAGACCTGCTGATTTCAGAAACTAAGGCACAAGGTGAGGTCAGGAAGCTACCCAGGGATCAGGACATACAGCACCTTCTAGGTCATGGTAAAGTTTTGAATTTTTTTTTTTTTCTTATTGGGATGAGAAGTCATTGGAAGATAAAAGGCATGGGAGTGATATAGCATGACTTTAGAAGAAGAGTTTTGCTGTTGCCTATTGAATAAGGAGACTGGTTAGAGACATGGGTTTTGAAACAGTGACATGAGGGAGAATATATTTCTTTAATTCAGGGAGAAGTTCACAATGTCTACTGATGTGGTGGTGGTAGATGTGGCAATGGTTAGGAGAGGTCAGAAGGCCAAAATGCTTTTTGAGGGATTCAATATTGAGGGTAGAAAAAATACAAGACTGAAGGATGACCCCCAGTTTTTTAATGTGATCTGCTGGGTAGACAGGGGTAGAGAAGACAATGGGGCAGAGAAGACAGTGGGTACAGAAGCCTGGGGAATCAGGAGTGTTTTAGACTGGGTATGCTTTGGGTGCCCATTAAATACCTGAGTGGATAAATCAAGATATTATTCAAGACAGGCACTGTTGGAGATACAGGAAATCAATTTGGGACAAAGAGGCACTATAATATGTCTATAAATAGACTAATGTAGTTCTTTGCATTACATCTTAATAGGTATAATAATAGGTCTCTTACTAACTACTTTAAAACACTTTTTCCATTTGTGCTATTTTAGTACATATTTTATGATAAAATGTAGTGCCATTGATATGTATATTTTTCTTGTAAAGTAAAAATGTGTAATTATTAGTAAAGATAGATGGATAGATTCAGATAAATTGTTAATGAATTGTTGGTAGGACTGTCAGAAAATAGGAATTACTATGGGCAATGGGTTATATATAGAAGGCTTTTTATTTAATTCCTCTTTATTTATTTCCATGGGTATATCTGATTGTGTTCTCTTCTTTTCTTAGATCTTCAGTCATTTTTTTTTCTTACAGATTTTCTAAAATTTCTTCAGCAGTTAGCATTTCAGGGGAATTTGATATGGGCACCCTGCCCTCAGTTCATTAAAGCCAACACAGGAATGAAGATACAAAGTATTCTAGCGTAAGGAATAAATATTTTGAGTAAATGTTGCCAATGCATGTTATATACATACGAATATATTTTGGAGTGTATTACCTCATTGTCAAAAATAGCCAGGTCAGAAATATTATCTGAAACTTGGAAACAGGCAAGAGATATTCCAGGGTGTTCTTTCTGAGCAGTGCTAGGCTTGAATGACTATTGTCTGAGTTGTTTCACAACTCTGTAGAGGTGGAAGTTAATGTGTAGATTTTTGTCCAGTAGAGATGCAGATAATTCTATCAAATGGAACAGGTTACTTCAAAGGTCACAGTTTATGGCCCTGTTGGACATTAACAAGCTTCATACGTAAATCGGAAAACCTATTCCAGTACTGCCTATAATTATTTCTTTGTCAAATGCTCTTTGGACCAGTTTTAACATCTTACTAGTTCCATCTGTAATCAAGTTGAGTAATATTATAATTTTATACTTTTTCTTCTAGTATCACATGAGAGTTATAATTTTCTCATTTTTGGAAAATTGTATTTTAACTTTTATAGGTATAGAAAAATATTTGTCCTGCCAAAATATTTTTAAACCTAACCTAATCATATATATATATATATATATTTGCAAAGCATAGGATAACATAGACAACTCCGTATTTTGAGTAGTTATTTCAAATTATTCTTTACTATAGAAAACATTTAGTATACTGATAGAACATTTAGTGCTAGAAGAGGCTGGAGAATTTCAAGATAATAGCTTCCACAGTGTACCAAAAAAAGTGTTTAAATTCCTATATTTCATTTTAAAGGTAAATATTGTACATATTTAAAATTGTACAAATATTTTATTTCCAAAATTACTTCAAAAACATGCATGAAAGCATACATGATGAAATACGTATGTGGCAAACTTTTGTAATTTTTATAAAGTGCTTAGAAAATGTTTTGTGAATGAGCGTAATTATTCACATACTTTTCCTTTCGGAATATATTTTCTATATCATATATGTTTAAAATAGTCTATGAAAAAAATAATTTTTCTTCATGATCGTCACCTTCTCATACCTGTTAGCAACGTTTGTACTGATCTATATTCTTATGGAAATTATTTTCGAACCTTGTCGTTTGTGAGCCCTTGAAATGCTCTAAGCCTCCATTTTCACCTGTGTGTGATGGGTTTAGAACAAATTTTGTTAGTTATTTAAGCTTTAAAAAATCAATGTAAATAATTTTTATCCTTAACATAAGAGAGATATAAATGTTTTGTTTTGTTTTGGTTTGTTTTTGTTTTGTTTTGTTGTTTTGAGACGGAGTCTCGCTCTGTCGCCCAGGCTGGAGTGCGGTGGCGCGATCTCGGCTCACTGCAAGCTCCGCCTCCCGGGTTCACGCCATTCTCCTGCCTCAGCCTCCCGAGTAGCTGGGACTACAGGCGCCCGCCAAAACGCACAGGTAATTTTTTTTTTTTTTTTTTTTTTTTTTTTGTATTTTCAGTAGAGACGGGGTTTCACCATGTTAGCCGGGACGGTCTCGATCTCCTGACTTCGTGATCCGCCCGCCTTGGCCTCCCAAAGTTCTGGGATTACAGGCGTGAGCCACCGCGCCCGGCCATAAATAAAAAAAAATAAAAATAAATAAAATAAAAAAAACCAGAAGACATGAGAATAAGAGATGGTAGGATTGTAAATAGTTGAGCGTTTACACTCTAAATTCATGTGTAGCTGTGTTTAGATTCTGGCTCTGCCACTGCCTGGAAATGCTGCCCTTTGAAGCCTTGAGGAAACCAGGAAAAGTCGTTGGGTAGAGCGCTTGCTCCAGGACACCAACAGGATGAGGCTGCTAGAGGAATGGGGAATTGATGAAATTATCTCCTATTGCATATTAACTGTGTGATAATTAAGGGCTCCAGAAAGTGCATATCAACTATGTGATAATTAAGCATTTCGGGAAATGGAGAAAATGTCCTAGAAAGAGAAAGTTTGGAAGATCAAGGAATAGGTGTCTAATATGATGGTTTTATAGAAACTCTGTAACTATAAGAGGGACAAATGGGTATGGAAAAAGAATCCAAGATGTGCTGAAAGTAGTGTTAAGCACAAAAGATAATCTGAAATCTGAAGCATCATTGAAGAGTTCTTAGACAGAAAATCATATTGTTAAGAAGTATAACACATCTATATATTCATTCATAGAAAATGCATTTACTGAGAGTCAAGTACAGGCAAAGGCCTCTGTTAGACCTTGTCAAAAATAACAGAGTAGGAGAGCATAGTTCCTTTTCACAATGTTTCTACTTCCATTATTCATTGTTATTACAGTTAGCCTTTACTGAATACCTGCAATATGCCATGTATTCTACTACAAGGTACTTTGCATTATTTATCACATTTAATTTTATGGATGAGAAAATGAAGACTCAGAGAGGTTGGTAACTTGAATAAGCTATTGTAGCTTGTAAATGGAAGATCTATCTTATTCCAAAACCTAGCTCTTTCCACTGTTATCTCTTCATCTAATGAGAGAAGGACTATGTGTGTGTGTGTGTGTGTGTGTGCACACGCACACGCACATTTGTATGGGTATATAAAACTGTAATGCATCACGAAATATTCTAAGTTTGAAAATTGTGTAAATAAATGTCTCTGAAAATTCATAAAAGAAAATTTGTGTTTAGGTAGAAGGACTAGTAAATATTACTTGGCAACTGGATTTTTATCCAAACCTTGATAACATATAGGAATTCAATTTTCTGAGCCAAGAATAAGAGTAACTTGAAGGAAAAAAAAATACATTTTTAGCGAAAAGATCTGTTTGGAAAATATCATGGAGCTCTGTTTGATTGTGAATGTGAGCATGTATTAAGCAGAAACAGAAAACAGGTTGGGACCCATCATGGAGAGTCCTTAATATATCCATGTTAGGGAAGCCAGAGGCAGAAGTAATGGGATTATGGAAGTATTATTATAGGAGGAGATGCAGTCAAAAGGCAAAGGTGTATAAAGCAGGAGGCTCCTTCAAACCATGAATCAGAAGTAAAGCTAGAGGAAATTGTCAACTGGAAGAACAAAGGATAAATCTGAGGTTTCCAGTGTGGAGTATGGGAAAACAGTGATACAATAGAATAAATGCGGACACAACAAGGAAGAAATGCTCTGTGTCCTTACAGAGCTTTGCTCTATTTCACCAGCTGTCATGTTCCATTGTTTTTGTCTGTTTATATGTTTGCAAACTGTGAAAGAACAGAGGCTGTGTCCTGCCATCCTTGTGTTCTCCATGAGGAGTATTGTGGCTCGATCATACTGGACACATGAATTAAGGCTGACAAAGCCAGCCTGAGGCCAGGGCATTCAACCACCCAGAGGAAATTCTCATACATATTTGAGTGGAAGCTGAAATTCCGGACTGATTCTTGTATGGTAAACGAACTGCAATTGTACATTTGGGTGTCAACTGCATAGAGATAGAGGTAGTCAGTTCTGAAAATGGTAGATGAGTGGTAAGAAAAAGGAAGCAGGAAGAGAGAAGAGATAAAGGTGTAAAGCAGAAGCTTTGAGCAATACTGTCATTTATGGGGTAAGATAAAAGTTAAGGGGGAAAATAATACCATAGCAGAATTAAAAGACGTTCTTCAATGGGAAGAGAACAAGTAGAGTGTCAGCTCACAGAAGCCGTCCTAGAAGAATTTCATGCTTCAGCTGTTAGAGTAGGAAGAACTTTAAAAACTTTAACTTTGTTAAACACAAGGTTATTGCTGACTATTGAAAGTCTTCAAAACATCAAAATGCAAAGGGTTAATGGGTAAGTGAGAGACTTTACTTAAGATAAAGAAACATACTTTATCTTGCTCTCAATGGTAAAACTCAGGCGCGTTAGAATGGTGGTTCCATGTATATGGTTGGTATGAAGATGAGAAATTACAGGGTTCAATGATAGGTTGATTTTCACCGTATTCATTTGGTGGGGGAAACTGTTTCACCTCATCGATTTTTTAGTGCTAAACAAGTCATGTTCTCCTGTTCATTAGGGATTGCTTCATTGCTTTTCAATTCGTTTTTTCATCAGTTTGCCACTTCTATGTGTTAGGGCTGTGCTTCATAGTGAGTGCAATTCCCAACTATTGATGGATGTGACATGCCCACTCTAAAATATGAAAGAGTACAAAATGCAGCATCATCATGGGAAACACAGATGCAAATTCATTGGAGTAGACTGAATGGTTGTTTAGTTTCACTGTATTTATCAAAGTTCTTGAAGAATCGTTCTTACGTCAAGATAGGAAATAACAATAAATATTAAGGAAATAAAGATCTATACTTCACGCATTTATTTGTATACAATAGAAGAATAAGTACACATCCCTTAGCTGACTCTTAACAAGTTTTATTGGGCATGTATATTCTACTTTATTGCATAACCATAAAATAGCTCAAGGAAAAGTAAATGAGCTAATTCTGCACTATTTACTAAGGGAAACTTCTCATCAAATTTATTGGGAGTTTTGCCTGAGAAAATACTAAATAATCAGGTATTTTTTTTCCCCTAGACTATTCACATAGCAGTACAGAAAGTAGTTTTTCAATGTTTAAGTGCTACTGTATTTCTGCATGAAAAGTCACCTCTTTCACAACTGCTATGTAACTTATGATGTGAATTATGGCTTCAACTTACTGCTATTAACTCCACTTGAAGGATCAGAGTGTTGTGATCAGCTAGCTTTTTTTATTGTTATTATCCAAAGAATTGTAGTCAGTATGTGATTTTGGCAGAAATGTGCCATCAGAGACAAAATGGTATATCAAATGTACTCCTGTGGCAAAAATAGATTCCTTACTCTAAGAAGAAAGAACCTAAGAGAAACGTTTGTGTCCTAACTTAAGTATGAGATTGTGGGGATATAAAGAAACCTTTTGGTCAATGCCTGGGCCATACTTCAGTGAACTGGCAGATGATGATTTGGGAAGTAAGCTTAATATAGAAAATAAGCCCTATTGGGAGACTATTAGCAATCAATAAAAGAAAATGAATTAAAATTAGCTTTTTGCTAAATGTTAGCAGAATGTTTATTTTCTAAAATCTTAATAGTTTAGAAAAATCATATTCTCATTATTTTCAAAGATGAAATTCACTAATTTGTTCCAGCACTTATAGTTATGGCTAACAATCAACCACAATATGTTGTAATCAGTGACCACCCTGAATAAACTTTTTATTTACCATCTGTAGCCATACAAGGGAGATCCCCATGGATAAAAACATAGATGAAAATTTCCATGTTTCACCACTCCTGAATTAAGGATGTAAAACAGTATTCCTTCTGACCTAGGAGCAGGGAATTAAGCTTCATATACAAAGTGCAGAAAGTTGTCAGATTTTAATGTTCATTATGCTAGAAATTAAACAGGGATTTTACTCAATATGTTAATATACCCACATACAGTATCTGAATTTGGGAGTGGTGGAATTCAGAAACTAGTTTTTCTGGTTATTAGTAGACACAAAGAAAAGTGTTTTTCCTAATCTCAACACAACACTTCTGACACCAGATGTGTATGGGATTTTTCTCCCACTCACCAAGCAAGCAATTCTCCAGCAGACACCAGCTGGATATCCTCTAATTCAGTACAATTCTGGCATTTTCTACCTGGAGAAAGCATCAGATCCCATTGCTTCAGGGCTCAGTCCCACAAGACTTCTTCCCACTTCAAATTGCAAGCCCCAGGTTGCGATGTGTGAGTCTGACCAACAGGCTAGAAATCTGGATTCCCACAGTCTCCTCCTTGGGTTCAATTTATTTGCTAAAGTAGCTCACAGAATTCAGGGCAACACTTACTTCAGTTTACCCATTTATTAGGAAGGGTATTACAAAAGATACGGAAGAACAGCCAGATGGAGGAGATGTGTAGGGCAAGGTACCTGGAAAGGCGTGTGGAGCTTCCATGCCCTCCCCAAGCACACCACTTCACAGAGACTCCCACCTGTTCAGTGATCTGGAAGCTCTGAACTCAGTCCTTTTGAGTTTTTATGGAAGCTTCATTATGTAGGCATGATTGATTAAATCTTTGGCCATTGATGATCAACTGAATCTTCAGTCCCTCTTGCCTCCTGAGAAATCTACGGATGGGGCTGAAAGCCCCAACCCTCTAATCCTGCCTTGTTCTTTCTGGTGACCAGTGCCATCCTGAAGCTGTTTAAGAGTCCTCAACCACCAGTCATCTCATTTGCATACAAAAACCTCCTCTTAACACTCCCCAGATTCCTAGAGTTTTAGGAGCTGTGTGCTAGAAACCAGGGCAGAGAGCAGATCTATATATATTTTTATTAATATTATATCACAGTGTCACACTGTCAAATGATATGATGCTATTAGTTGGATTATTCAAAATATATTAACTGAAGTTGTGAACTTCTCCAAATTGTCATTTCCGATTCCATGGGGAAAAAAAATACTCACCTTTCTTCCTTTATAGTTCTGTTTGATCAGATAGTTTGGAAAGTCATTACTGAAGCATGCGATTTACCAGGAGAAAAGACCAATGGCACCCTTTGAATGCAATTCAAACCAATCTTGTGTTGTATGCCTTCAGTATTTGTTCATGTGGACTAGATGTGGAAATGACTTTTGTGAAAACAAATTTTGAGATGCAGAATCTCCACTTTTATAAATTTGGGAAGATACCTGGACAATTCTCCCTGTATGATATGGAAGAGAGTTGTATATGTGGCTGAGACACTGCGCTGGCATATTATGACAATGTGTTATTTCCTGTAAGCTCTGAATCCTGTGTAAGCATGAATACTCCTCCCACTGGACAGTCACTTCTATGAGGTTGCTTTGTTTCGTCCCTACCTAGTTTACTCACCAACCATTTATTAAAAACCTACAGTGAGCTGATGACTAACCTCAGTGCTGAGGATTCTAACAACATTCAAACCAAGCCCTGCCATCCAGGACTCATAGTCCAGAAGGCAAATGCTTGTAAGAAAATAATTACAGAGAGCAGTGTTAAGAGGAGAGACATCAGCCTGGATCTCCAGAGCTGGGGATACTGGAGAAGGTTTTTCAGGAGAGGTAGTATTTGGCTGTTAAAGATGAAATGGTAATATATATAAAGACAGAGAAATGGAACATGGGAAAAATGAAACTATGGGAACAACACATAAAAATGCCCAAATAGGAAGCAAAGTTGGTCCTGTTGAGAAAACTGTTGAACAATTGTGGTGGTGAAGATGGCTATGAGATGGAGCATAATTGAGAAGCAAGCAGGATCACAGAGCTTCTTCCATGACATGGTTAGGTTTTGAAGGGTGTTCTTTCACACTGGAGACCCCGAGGGATTTTAAGCAAGAGCATGGCATGAGCAGGTACGTTTTAGAAAGAGTATTCAGGAAAGCCAGTCTCAGGCACAGCATGGATCAGTAATGCTAACAACCAGTCAAGAATCAGCACAGAAAGAATCTGATCAAATTCCCATAGGCAGCCTTATTTTTTTTTGTAGTCCAGAAGTATTTGACCACCTAGCCAAATAGGGGAGACTATGGAGAGAATATTGTGAGGAAGATGGGAGTTTTTCATACTATTTGCATTGATTTATTACTCTGTAATGTATTTTGTGTATTAATCACATTCCTGGTTTCTTACTTTCCTACTGTGTACTGTTTGCCTTGATTTAATTCTATTTTGGTTTATTTATCTACTTCTAGTTGTCTATAGTCTGTGTACTTTTTGTAAATTGCTGTATGAAAATATATTTTTTTCATCATCATAAAACAAAACAAAGCAAAATCCTAAGCATTCATTAACTTTGGTCCTTTGGTTCAAAACTAATTTATATAAGTCAAGGTCTTTATTTCCTCTCTAGAATATAATAGAAGTTAAAAATGGAAAGCAAAATTATTCTAACCTTTTTGTTTTTTTTCAAATCATAACACGTATTCTATTGAAACAGTGCATACATACAATAATTATCACTTTATATTTTAGACCCTCTTCTTCAGAAATATTAATGAAGATTTGTTCAAACAATTTTAGAAACAAATCACTAATCAAAATAACTACTTTTTCATGATTACTAAAATTTCTATCATATTATTTTTCATATTTCTATTTTCTTTCAAAAACACTATATACTCATTGAAAATAAAGTCTCATCTGCCCCTCAAAGATAAAACCAATGCACACTTTTCTGCCAATTCTATTTCCCTCATTTTACATTAATTATGCATATTTTGCGTGCTAAAATGGACATGGCTCTGATGAACCTGACTTTGCCCCTTTTTTTGCATAGTCCTTGATTTATTAGCATATTTTTGTTTGTATGTGTGTGGCAGGGAAAAGAATGGAAAGAGTTGCAAACATGTATATAGTTCTCTGCCAGTGGCTAAAAAGCACACGACACTGAATGAAGTCAAGTAATTCTGTATCTTAAGCCCTGGAAACACCTTTGACCAACAGCAGCAGAGTTCTATAGAGGCAGGTAGACGTCCTTCTGGAGTTGCCAAATAACACAAAACTTCCCCATACATCCCACTGTATTTGTTGAAAATAAAAATTACATTGCAAGAAATATAGTGTCCATGAGCAAGGCCAGTGAATTTTTTAATGAACAATATGAAATCTTAATGACACGATTGATTAAAATATTAACTATGAGTAGCCATGGCAATTGATTTCAAAGCAAAAAAGACATAGAAAAGTCACAGAATTTCCCTCCAGGTTTTGTTTCTCATATTGGCAGACATTCAAATTCTGTAAAATATCTTAAACTCCATGTTTAAATTTTTACAGTTTTCGTATTATACATAAAAAGACAAAATGCAATTTGGGTACAAAATTTCTATCATGCTGGTGCAAAATATGCCAGGAGGACCTTATAAACAATTTGTTATAATTCATTAAAAAGTTTATTTAGAATTTTAAAATTCTAAATAAAAAATCTTACTGAATCCAATGAAATTAAATCATGGGAATTATTTAATTATTCTAAATAAAATTTATTTAATGATTCTATTTAATTATTCTATTAAATAATTGTTAAATCACTGAAATAAATTATTTAACTAAATCATGGGACTGATCTAATCATTCTAAATAAAACATTATTAAATTATTTAAGTATTCTAAATAAAAAATCTTCTTGAATCTAATGAAATTAAATCATGGATATCTCATTTCTCCATTTGAATTTGAATATATGGTAGAATGTTCTCCATTACAGCATAAAATCTTTCACTTTGCAGTGGTCTTTTTGAAAATTTTTATTTTGAGAAAATTAACATCGTAAATTATAAATATGAAGAGTTATTTGTAGTAGTAAAAGCAAGGGCTTTAGAGTCATAAACACATGGGTTTAAATCTTGATTTAATCTTTCTTACTGAGCCATCTTTGGTAACTGACTTAATGCCCTGAAGCTCATTTTCATCATCTATGAAAAGAGATATTAACATCTAGTCTATAGGGTTGTTAGAAAGGTTGAACGATATAATGTCTATATAACGTTTAACTGTAGTAACACTCAGTAAATATCTGCTGTTATCACCATCATCATCATAGATTTGCTGAAAGGACTCTCCTCTAAGAATATCTTATTTATTTTAAGTTTAGGCATCTAATATTGAATCAGAGTAAGAAGAGGCAGCAATATTGAATAGTATAGGAATAATATCAAGACTTGCTCTGTAGATCACTGGAGTTATAAATCTTGCCTATGTACTTAGCTAAGCAAGGGCCAAGGCAATTTAGTCAGTTTAAAAATCTTGTCTGTTTTCTTATTTTTTTAAAAAAAATTCACTATCATAACAGTCAATTCAATCATGCCTGTAGATAAAACATCATTTTCAGGGTAATATATTTTGATTGCTATTGGAACTGGGTCTTGACAATATAACTATGCCTGAATTGAGCTATTTTATTTCCCTTTAAGTATTTTTTCCTACATAGATACATGCGTAGCAAGGTATATGTGGAGTATATATCCAAAACAAACAAACAAAACTAGGCTACTATTCAGACACTTAACAAAAAGGAAATCTTTTTCTTTCTCTTTCCCACTGAATGTTCCCTCTGTTAAAGATAAATACATTAGTAAATAATAAATTTGAAAGTTTAGTAGAAAAGCATCATTCAATGAAAAATTTGGTGAACAACAAACAATTTGTGAATTTGAATTTGCAAATAATTTGATGAACACAACTAGTTTTCACATTTAGAGAATAAAACTATTTGCAATTGCAGAACCTACCCATTTGTCTCTTCTTCAAGTATCATTTTTAGCTCTATACGACTTAAAGGAAAAACGGAGAAAGCTTAATAAAGTAGATGTGTGTGTGTGTGTGTGTGTGTGTGTGTGTGTGTAGTTTTTCAGATTAAATTTTGCCAATTAAGGAAGCAAACAAAATAAGAAAAATCCGACTTTTCTTTTTCATAGCCAAATCAGAAAGTAATACACCTTAAATTTGGGGAAGGGGTTAAAAGGGGTTCTAACTGGCAGGATCCATCTTTGTTAAGCTATTTAGTCATGAAAAACCTGGCTTCCCACACAGCTCAGCCTTACCTCCCTCGCTCCACATCCCATCATAACAAAGGGGCAATTAAAATTAGTGCAGAATCACCAGAGACCTTGCTAATAAGTCCTGTACCCCATCCACTGCAGGTGATTAAAACGACTTTACTGGGGAAAAGGCAAGCTCTTCTCCAATAAAGCAAAACAGAACTGAAGGAGGAAGGAAAAGGCCATGGAGCCAGATGGCTGAGTTTGCAGTTTTGCTCTGTTATTGACTAGCTGGGTGAACACCATCTTTTCCCTTAGTTGTTATGCTTCTGTTTCCTTAACTGTGAAATGGGGTAAGAAGAGTAACTTTAACATGAAGCTATTGTAGGGTTAAATGAGGTCATCACATGTAGGTGCTTAGAGCATTCCCTGGAACATAGTAAGTGCTCAATAAATGAGCTATTAGTATGTGTACAAGGAGATCTCCTCTTATGCTATCCCACGGAAGTCTCTCAAGCTCCAGAAGCTTCTCAAGGCTCTCAAGCCTCTCTTGGACACTCCTCAACCCAGGAAGGTCAAGAATTTCAGAGGGTATTCTACATGTGAGTCCACAGTTGTGCATTGACTCCTCCATGGCTGGACATAGAGAAAAGTGTGCTTGCTAGCTAGCTAGCTATGTTAAAAATACAGGAATTAGGTTAGGCTGCGCACAGTGGCTCATGCCTGTAATCCCAGCACTTTGCGAGGTGGAGGCAGGAGGGTCATTTGAGCCTGGGAGTTCAAGACCAGCCTGGGCAATATGGCAAAACCCCGTCTCTACAAAAAATAAAAATTAAGAAAATAGCTAGGCAAGGTGGCATGTGCCTGGAGTCCCAGCCACTTGGGAGGCTGAGGTGGGAGGGTCACTTGCACCCAGGGAGGTCGAGGCTGCAGTGAGTTGAGATCACATCACGTCACTGCACTCCAGCCTGGGCAAGAGAGTGAGACCCTTTCTCTAAAAACAACAACAACAACAACAACAACACACTAGAATTATATCAGTCTACTACTTCAAACAGCTATAGGATGAACAAGTGCAGGTGTGTATTCTTAGAGTAGGGTTAGGGTTCTTTTTCACCTTCTGAAACTTTGCAAGTCAGTGTGTAGACATGGGGAAAACACGGAGTTGAAATGTTTGCTACAACCTTTGTTGTACCTGCTTGTTTCGCCGTGCCTCTTCTCTCTTCTAGTGCATGAGTTTGTTAAATCTGATCTTCATGTACACGAGTACATGACACAGGAAACATCTTTTTTACTTTTCCAGTTGTGCCTTTATTTCATTTTCAAAAAGGCATTGTGTTACCCAGTCTTCTGAAGCTGAGGGTTGATAACTAACACCTTCAAATATTTTTAAAAGAATCCATTCTTGTTTTCAGCCACATTATTTGTAAAATAATGAAAGAAGGAAATTATGAAGTAGAGTTTTTCTAGGACACAATGAGTTGTCATTAAAATGGCACACACTTCAAGATGGGAATACGAAATCACTGAACAAAAACCCTGAGATTTAGGCATAAAAGATGTTTTTCAGCTGTTTTTGTACCTTTAGTGTTAATGATGGAACGTTTTTCATGTAACCATAACCCTTTTCTCAAAACTCAGTCCACCATTACAGAAAACAAGGACCAACTGCTTCAATAATCTTGGCAGATGCCAACAATCCCACTTCTTGATTATTTGCAAAGGCTTTCTAGCTTGAAGGAAGATAAGGTATCACTAGTTGCCTGCCCTCTATAGGAGACTTAGGTTATGGAAACCCTATATGGTAATCCCATGTGGTGGTTTGAAAAATGTAAAACATTTAGAGAGCGAGAGCGAGAGAAAGATAGAGAGAGACTCCATCTTGAATTAACATAGAGTTTACTAGTCATAAGTTTGTAAGGAAATTACAAATGATTTATTGACTTTCATAATGAGGTTTCTAGGTTTCTTTCTTTGTTTCTTTTTTTAAGTTTACATTATCTTGTCCTCCAACTAGTTCACTTCCCTCAGGAATTCAAAAAATTAACTTTGCCCATCTGACATTTTATTTTGTTGTACTCTGAAAGGTTCGTTAAATAAATTGAAACCTCAAAACCAGTGACAAAATTTCGGAGGACTAATACTAGAGAGAGTAATTACATGAGTGGCATTTAGACCTAAGCCTAAAAAGACAGTTTTAATTTTGCAAAGTGTTCCCAATTATATTTATGGAAGTTGGACAGATTTCCTCTATGTAATGGAAAGGCAGGGCTTAAAAACAAAATGATCACTTATTTGTGGGAGCTAAAAAAAAATAATTAAAAAAAAACAATTAACCTCATGGAGATAGAGAATAGAATTATGGTAACCAGAGGCTGAGAAGGGTAGTCAGGGGGAAGGGAGGTGGGGATACTTAATGGGTACAAAATTATAGTTAGGTAGAATGAATTGAAGCTAGTATTTGTTAGCACAATGAGGTAATGACAGTTAACAATGATTTACTTGTACATTTAAAAATAACTAAAAGAGTATAATTGGAATGTTTGTAATCCAAAGAAAGGATAAATGCCTGAAATGCTGGATATCCCCATTTACCCTGATGTGCTTATTAGACATTGTACACCTGTATAAAAATATCTCATGTATGCCATGAATAGATATACCTACTAGGTACCCACAAAACTAAAAACAAAGCAAAATAAAAATAAAATGATCCATACATGGAATTTTATACTTGGATAGTCTGACCATCAATAATAACGCATAGTTTACCTTTTAGGTCAACTTTCTGTAAATTATTCTTTAATTATAAGTTCACCAGTGTTAACATTTCAAATGTTAGATTTCAGCTGCTAAATTCTCATGGCTAGATGAATTTAATATGTTTAAGTCATTGAAAGTCACATCAATTAAGGCTATAAGTAAAGAAAATATAAATATTTAAGGTGATGGATAACCCAATTACACTTAACTTGATTTATGTGAATGTATCAAATTATCACACAAACCCTAAAAATATGCACCAGCCATGATGTATCAATAAAAATAAATAAATAAAGGCTGTAAGCTCTACTGTCACCTCTGGAGCCAATGCAATGTGAATTCATCTGGTCTTTGACATGTCAACATAGCTGCGTTACTAACTCAGCAGTCAATTTGCACATTGAATTAGTGACAGAGGCTGAAGGTCAGAACTCCACCTCACTGTTTGCTGGCTGCCCACATGTGATGATGATGACTCATCTCCCCTCTGCAAAGGCCCTTCTTAATTAACCCTCTCCTCGGTAGAGCAGATTACAAAATGATTCCCTTCCCAATAGTTTCAGAAGTTCCAGTAGTTCTCGAAGTTATGCTGAAGGTTCACGTTCTTAACGTGTATCGATTTCCATTTGTTAAAAAGTGGTACAGAAAATAATCATTTCAATGTGCTTACCTCCAATATAAAGTAGTTAAAGAGCCTATGGGTGCTTATTTAGAAAATTAAGTACCATGTTGGTTACCACAGGTCTCATAACTCTGCTTTTGATTCTGTCACTTTGTTTATCCCTAAACAGAATTTTACTTGGTGTTGTGGTTTAGAAAGCTATTCAATTACAAATAGGTTTCGTTCTAAGACTTATATTGTTTAATTTATGTGCATAGTTCACTACTGAATAACAGTGGAAAGAAAAAGAACAAGTTGATAAGAAATATGAACATGATAATTCTACAAAATTCTACAAATTTACCTCAAAATGAGTCTCCCTAAATTTGTAAGTTATGCCTATCAGATAGCACTTACTATGCAGCATATAAATCATATTTTAAAAAATAAAATAACAGGATGTTAAATTTAATCTCTTTCTGAAACCAATATTTCACTTTTTGGAGTTGTATTAAAAAAATCATGCTTCCCTTCCCCAACCCCCAAGACAGATATAAAAATAATTAGGCAATGTGCCTTATTTATTACATGAGAAAAAATTGAATTTTGTATTATATACAAAGATTAGGAATGGTATTGGATATTATTTAAAATAAAATGTATAATATAATTATATAGTAGACTAATCTGATATAATTTCAAATTTCTTGTCAGTTCTTTTTCTTCCACTTGGCAAAATTGGTGGGATAATTATTTTTAAATTCTAATGGGGCTATAGAAGAATAGGTATTACTGTAAAAGGAGTTCACAAATCTTAAAAAATGAGAAAAAACTAAAGATATGAAAAGAATCGAATGAGATCACCATTCAAATTGGAACTCAGTCACTTTAGTAGCCATGGCCATTAGATCTGTTAATACTTTAGTCAGTTCTCTGAACTGTCAAGTTAGAATGAGAACTCACTACCATAGAGTATCTCATTCACTGACATATGCATGAGCACATAGCATAATAGAGGCCTTTGATGAAAGTCCGCTGTGGATTTCATTCTGCCGCTTGGAAGCAATGCAGGAAACAACCTAACCACAAGTGGAACCACACAGATCACTGCATGGATGCTGAGCAGGTCTCATTCTGGGTCCTCCTCAGACATGACTAACTCAGTTCAGTAGGAAATGGAACGCTCTCTGTTCCCTCAAAGCCTCCTATGAAGAAGCACGTTCCCTTTCTTGGCCAAACTGTCTCCTCCTTTTCCATAGATGCTGGATTTGGTACTTAAATTAATTTGGGGCTTGTAATGTTTCTATCAAACATGTCCTTTTTCCTTTGGCAAATGTTTTGTTTCACTCCAGTATTCAATGGCAGGTCTTTGCATTCCCTAGAATTTTTTTTAAGCTTCATTTTTTTTTTCATGTTTAAATTGGAGTCTTAACCCCTCCATGTTGGGTATTCTCAGCTCTGGTTTATCTCTGATGGAGAAATAATAAAGTGGTGAACACCTCCGTTTGTTAATTTATTCATCAGGTATTTTCTCAACATACTGTGTGCATCACACCTGTGTTAAGCATTTCAGGGGATGATATAGGATAAACACACATTTAGAAGTTAAGATATAATACACAGCTAAAATATGGGAAATGTCACTAATTGGTCAAAAAAACCCTTATGAATTTACAGTCGGAACTATAACTGGTAACTGTAAAGGTCAAGAGAGACATTTTTATACTAGAGGGAATAAAACTGCATTTTAAAAAAATGATTATATCGTAAGAAGCCATGAGATGTGATAAGGGCATTGAGACAAGGGAAGTAGTATTTGCAGAAACTTGGGAAATAAAATAATCATATTCCTTCCCCAAATTGACATTGTATATGGAGGAGGAAATGAATTTAGAACATAGCTAGTCAAGGACTATGAGCAGCCTACTAAAGAGAAGGGACTTTATAGTGAATGTGAAGTCATTGCAAAGTTTTTAAATGAATAAAGGTGAAAGTATTTATTATCACTGCCATTGGTGTAATGTGTAGCCTAAGCTGTCTACATTCAACTGTGAACTCCTTCAAGACTAGAACGCCGTCTCATGCATCTTTGCATTCCCTTCAATGTTGAATAAACATTTGCATAATGAATAAAAGATGCAACAATAGTAGTGCTTATTTGGATACATCTGCAGAGGAGAGAGAGACTAGGAGATGGCATATAAATCAAGAAGGCATCATAACTCACTATAAGGGACTATATATCAGAGGAGAATCCAGCTAGCCCTGAAAAGAAATGCTCACTTCTTAAGAATTTTTGTAGACGTTGATTGAAATAGCAATTTGTAGGAGTTAAGAATGTCTCCTTGGTAATTTAGGATGTCAAACTAAAAGGACTGGAGTATGATGAGAAGTCAGCTTTAAGAGATTCACAGGATTATCTAGCATTTTTTCATCATTATTTCTAACATTAACACAAACTATGTAAATGATTTTTTTTTTTTTTTTTTTTTTTGAGACCGAGTTTCGCTCTGCCGCCCAGGCTGGAGTGCAGTGGTGCATGATCTCAGCTCACTGCAACCTCTACCTCTGGGGTTTAAGCAATTCTCCTGCCTCAGCCTCCTGAGTAGCTGGGATTACAGGTGCCCGCCACCATGCTCAGCTAATTTTTGTATTTTTAGTAGAGTCGGGGTTTCACTATGTTGCCCACGCTAGTCTTGAACTCCTGACCTCAGGTGATCCGCCTGCCTTAGCCTTCCAAAATGTTGGGATTACAGGCATGAGCCACCATGCCTGGCCAAACTATGTAAATGATTAATGGTTCAGAATTTATTTACTCTTTTAAAAAGATAAACATTAAGTAATGTGAATAAAGATATAGAATTTACTGAAGAAACTAAGATAAATGTCTGGGGACTGTGTTATTTTCCAATATAATTGTGTTGAACACCTACACAAAAAAGATGATCAGCACACACAACTATTTTAACTATGTATCTATATATATATTTATATATGTATACACACACACATTCATATATATGTGTATGAAATAGTTCAAATTTTATCTGTACTATTTTACTTGCCCTGGTTTCTTTCCTTCCCAAAGTTTTGCCATTGTAGACTTTAGAGCAGTAAATTTTAGGTAATGATTTGCAAATGCTCTTTCCCAATTCCCATGTTGGAAAAAGATGCATATACATATATGGGGCAAATACGTTATTTTCTTCAAATTGAAAACATAAGATTTTCCCATTGTCTATTGAGATTTAATGTCTTTGGATTGAATTCACACTTGCCTTCTGTGTTACAAAAGCATTTCCAAAGAGACTGGAAACAACTGTGAGTTTCCCATTGTCACACTGTCTCCTTAATAGTGATAGTTTAATATAAATGCTTCTCTAGCTTGACTAGGAACATTAGTCAAACCAAGTGAAAATGACATTTCCCTAAGTTGCTGAATCTGCCTCCTTCTCTGTTTACCTGTATTTACCTTCCCATTGTCTTGAAAATAAAATTAGAGTTACATGCACTACTTCATCTGGTGAAAAAAAAATAAACTTCATATTTTGCAACACTTAATAATTTTTTGTAATGCGACCTTCAGATTCTCACTATTATGGTCATTTTTCTTTGGAAATATATTTTTCTTTGATCTTTTATTTTTCCTGTTGCCAGTATTAACTTTGCAGATTAACAAAAAAGAAAAAGCCTCTTTAGTTTGAAGTACTTGTAATTTGTTTACAGAACCCCAAGAAGCCTCATGTTCTAGAAGGGGTGTGACCCAGGTTCCCTCTGTCTCCAGGCGTTCTTCCAGGGATTTAAGGCCAGCATCTCCCCAGGTGGCGAAACACTCCTACATTGTAACGCACTCTCTCCTATCCCATGAAGATGCGTACATCCTGTATATGTAGCTCCAAGCTGTAGTATTCTAAATTAAAAAGCTTATTTTCCAGGTTAAAGAAACCTGTGGTTCAAAGGACATCTCATGGTTCAAAAGAACATAAATAATGGATTTTCAGTCTCTGCAACACATAAGAGAATAGGATACTAAGTCTCGACCCTAAATGTTCAATGCCCTCAATACCTTTAGATTCATTGAATTGAAGTAAGTCCATTTCACAACACCTCTGGGGACAGCCAACATCAATTGTGCATGAGAAAATATGGATTTTAAAATAGCGAGGGGTTAAAACCAAAAACAGATTGTTTCCTAAAACCAAAGAAAATAATCTATATAACATTATAAATATAATTACTATCTATAATATTATATATAATGATTTAATTTTAGGATGGGTCTCCTATTTCTTCACATGTGTTTCTTTCATTGTGGGGTACTCGGGACCAACCATGAATAATTCTCATGTCTTCCTCCGAGGCATGTGCCCAGATCCAGGCCTCACCTAACTAATTGCATCCTCAACTAACTGCATCCTGACCTGACTAACTGCTTGATTAGGCTAAACTAGTCATTCTATCTGAATTCTGCTAGGTGTCTGTCTTAGTCTGCTCAGGCTGCTATAAAAAATATCATAGACTATGAGACTTAAGCAAAAGACATTTATTTCTTACCATTCTGGAGGCTGGGAAGTCTAAGATCAAGGTGCTAGCTGGTTTGGTTCCTGATGAGGGCCCTCTTCCTGACTTGCAGATGGCAGTTTTATTGCTATGTCCTCTTATGGCAGAGAGAGAGAGAGAAATAGAGAGAGAGAGAAAGATCTCCTCTCTCTTCTTGTAAGGGCCCTAATCCTGTCATAAGGGATTCACCTTCATGACCTAATTACCTCTCAATGGCTGTATCTCCAAACACCATCACACTGGGGATTAGGGCTTCAACATATAAAATCTGGATGGGGTGGGGGCAGTACAATGTATTCCATAGTAGTATCAATTTATCTAGAATTCGTATAAGCCATGTAAGTAATTACTTAATGATACAGTGCTGCCGGGAACATTCTTTCATGATCACTTGTCCATTCTAACATTCATCCATTTAACTAATAGGATTAAAATTCTAACAGTAAATGATTTGGTTGTTATCACCATCCGGTCTCATTTTCCATCAGATCTCATTGAATATTTGCCTTCAATGTCTTTTCACCAGAGTGATTAATGTGGGCAATCCACAGATTATATCAAAGGTGGGAGATGGGCATGTCCTAGAACCAACCATCGTTCTCATCTCAAAATAAATTCTGTGAAACAAAGGCTTTGGATTTTCATCCTCATTTTTTAAAAATCTTAAACTTGTATTTTTTTCATTCATTTGTTAATGGATTCAACAAATATATTTTAGGAATTACATTAGAAACTGTGTGGAGTGCTGAAGATAAAAAATGAGTAAGACAAAATGCCCTTGACCTCAAGTGGGTGATCATCCATCAGGCAGGAAATTCATAGACAAATTATTATAAAGCAATTGGCCTTTTATGTTCATATTTACAAGCATTTTCTACTAGAAATGTTTAAATCAGAATCTTTCATATTTGTTTACTTTTAACTTACCATATTTTGTGCTTTTTTTCTGAAGTTTTAAATCTTTTCTTTGTGTAACAATAAGTGGCCAAAAGAAAATAGCATTTTTGTATTATTAACAGGTGGTAGAACACCACGTATTCTATATTTCTGACCCTGGGGAAATAAAATTAACTCTAGTGTAGCGTGATAATATTTCCAACGATGTGTAAGGAAAATCGTTCTTGTATTAAATAACAGCAGGAGGGTATTAGACCTCAGTAAGAACTCTGGTTATTTGACTGTTATAGAAAGCCATAAGGAGCCGAAATAAAAAGACCACTCTTCTGTTGTAATATATCTGAGGCACTGACTTTGTGAATATAAGGAATACAACATGCAGAACAATTTGGCTCTCTCAGGAGCTAGGCTATCTCAGACATTTTAGAAGATCAGAAATGTTTTTACTTCAAAATCCCATGTTCTATGCTTCTCTAGGGGCACTGGAGTGTTTGTTTGTTTGTTTGTTTGTTTGTTTGTTTTTTAGAGATGGGGTCTCACTCTGTCTCCTAGGCTGGAGTGCAGTAGCGCAATCATGTCTCACTGCAGCCTCCAACTCCTGGACTCAAGCAGTCCTCTCACCTCAGTCTCCCAAAGTGTTGGGACTATAGGCCTACACTAGCATGGCTGCCAATTTTTTTTTTTTTTTTTGAGAGATGAGGTCTCACTATGACCAGGCTGGTCTCAAACTCCTGGCCTCAAGCAGTCCTCACTCCTCAGCCTCCCAAAGTGCTGTAATTACAGGCATGAGCCACAAAACCCAGCCTGGGTATTTTTCTCCATCTTTTGCTACAGCATGAGCTGGAAAGACCAATATATTTGTCTGCTCTACACAAGGTGTGTGCTCTAACCTTCTCGTTGCTTTCTTGAAAGATCTATGCTGGCCTTCGTAGAAGATATATTGTTGGCATATCACAGACATTTGTTTTTTATCAATTTATTCACTTGGTAAAATAGTATTTTGTTACAGTGCTCCTGAAATAAATGACTAAATACATAAATACAAAAACAGGTGAAGTAGATGACTGTGAGGGTAGTGTGGATGTTAATGACAATACCAATACAAGAAAACAGCAGAGACAGTAATAAGAAAACTTAAAGTTGAAAGGTTAGGTAATTACATTTTCCAAGGTTGTGCAAATAGTAAAGAAATAAACAGGCCTCAAATTCTGGTCTCTCTGACCCCAAATAGGAAGAGCTAAGCCAGAGAGGGGGTGGCCATATAAGAGATACGAGACCTGGGAATCAGGATACCTGAACAGATCAGGTTTGCCTTAGAACCTCCTGCCTCTTTATGTCGCCCCATGTTTACTCTCTGTAATGGCCTGTCTATATCACCTTATCCCACAACTAGGATTAAGAAAAGTATTCATGTTTGTAACACTAGGACCCCAGAATCACTTCTGATAATCCTTTAAAAATTGCAGTATAGAATACATAGGTGAAAAATAAATGCAATGGAAAAAATGCCTTGGTTCAAATGGCAGGATGATTTTTACACCTGCTCAGGCTTTCTGCAAAGCACTGGGACTCAAAGTAGGTGAACGCACACAATTATGAATATGCACGTATACACATACGTTTTTATATAATTTAGCTTCAGATTGATTGAATTGTTAAATATTTCAGTACATTTTGGGGAGAGTTTTACTTATGCTGAGGCAAACCATATGTTAATTTATTTGGATGGATTTGGAAAGATGTTTAAAATAAACTAACACAGTACATAATTTATCTTCAAACCTCCATTGCCTGATGCAGTGCCTGGCAAATATTACAGCTTCAGTAAATGTTTGCTGAACTGAATTAAGGGTGCTAAACTGACATTTCTTCCTTTAGTTTACAAAATCCGAATCAAGAGCTCTTCACTATTTAAAATGTATGTCCTAATTCTCCATTTCCATTGAGTAATTTACATTTAACTGCCAAACTAATTGATGCTATGAAGTTGCCTAAGGATTAAGATTCTTTTGCGGGAGGATTATTTGTGTCGTATTTTTCATTCTATTTGTCTTTAAGAAACAAAGTGAGGGGGACTTTCAACAAATGGATGCCTTTCTATACCGACCGAGGATATGATCTAGAATGAATGTTTAATTTATTTTTAACCAGAGTCCTGTCAGCACGTGGTATTTCCAACGAGCAACACATGATTTAAATTGTAGTTTACAGAGGTGTTCGGGTGTTCAGTGATCCTTTAGCATTCTTTTCTTTTTTTTTTGAGACGGAGTCTCGCTCTGTCGCCCAGGCTGGAGTGCAGTGGCGCCATCTCGGCTCACTGCAAGCTCCGCCTCCCGGGTTCACGCCATTCTCCTGCCTCAGCCTCCCGAGTAGCTGGAACTACAGGCGCCCGCCACCACGCCCGGCTAATTTTTTGTATTTTTAGTAGAGACGGGGTTTCACCGTGTTATCCAGGATGGTCTCAATCTCCTGACCTCGTGATCCGCCCGCCTCGGCCTCCCAAAGTGCTGGGATTACAGGCGTGAGCCACCACGCCCGGCCTTTAGCATTCTTCTGTGAAATCAAATATCTTTTTCTTTGGACTCGTAGTTTGTAAGCACTGTTTCTGAAAACACTGTTAGGCTGACCTAATGTACAGTAGAGTTCTCTCTACTCTTCCTTTATGTAAGGGCTACTTATTGCAACTACAGCTAAAGTTTCAAAACCAATAACCGCCTGTGATTCTGAGAGACTTCCATCCCAATTGTCAGAGCAGGAGGCTGTCTGTGTGGTTGATGGCTGGCACTGCACAGCTCTGCTATGTCATATTTGAATGTGTACTTTATAGCATGTCTGATGCCATCTCTGTTTACAGTCATCCCTCGGCTCATCCCAGAATGCTTGCTTAGGTATTATACTGTCCTCTCTAGTTCAAATACATCGACTGCAACACTCCTGTGTTGTAGCACATAATTCTTAAGGGCTGGAAGGGTGGATTTGTTATGAGCAGCATTGATCATTCTGGCTTGTCATTTGATGTTGAATTTGCTGTAGATATGATTCTGACTTCAAAAAAGAAAAAAAAGCATAAGCCACATAGAATGTCTCTGAAAAGTCCTGAATGTACATTTTTTGGCACAACAGACCTATGTTAGTTCCTCAGGTATGGAAATATAAAGATATTGTGAATATTATTCAACCTCAGAAGGAAGATTTGAATGTGAGTGAGTCCCTGGGAGAAAGAATCAGGCTTTTTATGTCTGAGTGGCTGGAGAGTTCTTTTAGGGAATCAGTTTAGTTTATTGTTTAGCTCATTGTGGTGCCTTCGATTACAGAATACCTTTCATTTTAGCCTCCAAGTAAGGATATCTAGGATCTTTCTAGCCTTTTAAGCTTTGTCCTTTCTATCATCACAGAATCACAGAGATGGAATAAAGTTTAGATTTATAATGTACAATTAAAGCAAAAATCTTATCATCCAGGATTTCAGTTTGGTCTAGGAAGTGTTGCCTAACACCGAACTATGGCCAGCTCACCAAATAGTAGGCAATATCTCTTGTTCTAGTTTTGTGATGTTTTATCAGCTGGCACCAAATTTTATTTCTATGATTGAGATTAAGTCAATGGAAATATAAGAATATTAAATGGCTTCTAAGAAAAAAGTTTTACATTGTCAGGTGTATAAGTAGTATATAAACTGTATGAGGATATAAGAAACAAGAGAGCAAACAGTTATTTTGTTATCAATTATTATCATTATTAGTCATTATCATTTTACTATAAGAATGCTGCATGTTGACATTAACAGTGATATTCAGTGAAGTCAATGTTTTATTGATTGATAGAAAATACCTAATAATTAAAAATTCAAAGTAGTGCTTTAGTTTACATAGCTTGAGGGTGAAGGATGCACAGTCTTTAAAAGCAGATGGTTTACTTGATGTCTTTTGTATACGAACTAGTTAAATTTCAGCTTGTACTAAAGAACTATAATTTGTTCACATTCTGAGTTATTTTGATATGATATAGTGTTCATAGTTTTGCATGCACAATCATAAAGTTTGATGTTTTAATTTTTCAGGCAAAATTAGTAATACATCAAACACGTTGTATTTGGAACAATAAAATGTGGCATTTATGACATTAAAATGTATTGCCTTCCTAATTAAGAATACATCATACATGGTTCCTTTGCAAACAGTTTTTTTAGTTGTATTACAGTATGCTTTATCTGTAACTTGGTTTTCATTTTCAAAGAATAGAAGAATATTAATAAGGAAAATTTTTGTGTACAAAGAGAAAGAAAAGAGAATCAAATTGTACCTTTATGAAAATGTCTCCATAGGATATTTCAAGATAATACATGCAAATATGCTAAAATAATAAAATATATGGCTGGATTAAGTCACACTAAATAAATTTACACTACCAACTTATTTTTAAAAGATCTATGAAATTAACTGTTTTATGCCCCAGAATCTATGAACATAAATCTTTGTTCAAAAAGTGTATCAGATAGCTAACATAGACTTATCAGGATCCAAAAACTTATTTAGGGTCGTCTTACAAATCCCAAAGTCATGTGCCAGCAAATAGAGATTCTATTCTTGAGGTACATCAGGAGTTCTAGTCAAATAAGAGTAACGTAAAGATAAAAGTAAATTATTGTTAAAAATGTTTTTTTAACACTTAACAAAGATGATTGCTCTAGCAAAGATCTAAAAATAATAGTGACATAAGCAAGTTGCAAATTCATTTATTCTCTCCCATAGTATTCCAAGTTTAAGCAGTCTGGTGCTGCTAGGGTGTCTCTGTGGTATCAGGGACCCAGGCTCTCCTATCCTGTGGCTCAGTCATTCTCAACATGCAATTTTAATCTTGTAATTCTAAGATTGCTGCTCCAGTTATCATCCATCTATATTTCAGACAGCTTTAAAGATAGAATAGAAGTCATTCCACTTTCCTTTGAAGACAGAGTTTAGAAATCACAAATTCATTCTTCTGGGAGCTAGATTTTATGAAAATTTCAAAAAATAAAAATAAATTACAAATTTCCTTCTGCTCATATATCCCTGACTGGGACTTAGTTATATTCCCATGCCTAATTGCAAGGGAGACTAAGAAATACAGTCTTTAGATGGTCAGCCAACTGCCCAGCTAAAATGCTGGGATTTCATTTTTAAAGAAGGAGAAGAATGGATATTGATGAGACAATACGACTTTTTGCCATGTAAGTGAGACAATTATTAATAATTACTGTGATTTATTGTAGTCTGTAGAATAACCTTGAAAAACACTCCTGGGTTGTCCTTCTGTGTCTTCTTTTTTTTTTTTTTTTTTTTTTGAGACGGAGTCTCGCTCTGTCGCCCAGGCTGGAGTGCAGTGGCGGGATCTCGGCTCACTGCAAGCTCCGCCTCCCGGGTTCACGCCATTCTCCTGCCTCAGCCTCCCAAGTAGCTGGGACTACAGGCGCCCGCCACTACGCCCGGCTAATTTTTTTGTATTTTTAGTAGAGACGGGGTTTCACCGTTTTAGCCGGGATGGTCTCGATCTCCTGACCTCGTGATCCGCCCGCCTCGGCCTCCCAAAGTGCTGGGATTACAGGCGTGAGCCACCGCGCCCGGCCCTGTGTCTTCTTAAATATCTATCTAGAGTGCTTTTCTTTAGTTCTGCTCTACCTGGCTAACTCCTGCCCAAACTTTAAAATTTCTCTAAGGTAATATTCCCCTAAGAAGCTTTCACTGATACCCAAGGATGGTTTAGGTAATTATCCACTGTACCTCCACGATACCTTGTGCATATCCATTTGGTGGCAGTTCTAATAACATATTTTAATTACTTCCTCCGTGTCACTGTTTTTCTCTAATCTAAAAACCTTCAGGTAAGGACTGTTTTATTCTTTATATTCCTAGACTGAGATCTGGTATATCTTAGGTACACATATATTTTTAAATGATTAAATTGATGAATTAATAATTAGGGTTGCTTTTAGGCATTCCAGAATATTCAGTGAAGTACAGGGAGATCCCAGGCATAGAAGTGCACCTGCCAATGGCTTTGAGTTCCAAGTCCAAATTCTAGTATTCTCTCATTGGTGAACATGTTTTGTTCTTGTCATTTGGTACAGGACATGCTATATATTCGTCAGAAACATTCATGAAATAAAGTCAAAGGAAAACACTGTGTGCTTTCAATGATGAGCAGAGATGTGCAGCTGTGCCAATTTTGCACTGCATACCTCCATGAGATGTGATTTCACAGGGACTGTAAATTCATACAGTGAGGGCTTGCACGAATATAGAGGCCCTAATCAATTAAGCCTATTAAACATTCTTACCCAGTAAATAAATTCTTATAAATTGAACATAATTAGGTTTTAAAAAATACTGTGAGATATTAAATATAACATTCCAGAAACAAAGTATCTAAGATAATTAGTGTAATTTACAATGTTGCCTGGAAAGTTTACTTAATGTGTTGTTTATTGTTTATGAGGAGGTATGTAGAGACAAGATGTAAAGATATATGAAAGAGAACACTTAATGCAACAATTCTTATTTACAAAAAAACTAGGTCTAAGTTGGTTTGTGAAAACACAAATTGATGCACAGGAGATAAAAATCTAATCACTGGCTCATGTGTTTAATCCCAGCACTTTGCGAGGCCGAGGTGGGAGGATCACCTGAGGTCAGGAGTTCGAGACCAGTCAGGAGTTTCACCAACATGGTGAAACCCCATCTCTACTAAAAATACAAAAATTAGCTGGGCATGGTGGCGGGCGCCTGTAATCCTGGCTACTTGGGTGGCTGAGGCGGGAGAATTGCTTGAACCTGGGAGGCAGAGGTTGCAGTGAGCCAAGATTGCCCCACTGCACTCCAGCCTGGGCAACAGAGCAAGAATATGTCTCGAAAAAAAAAATCTAATTACATCCTTTATATATAAATAAATATATATATATATAATTAATGGATTCCTGAAGAGTATTTTAATCACTTCATATTTTACTATTAACCCAATCTAGTTTTCTTTTTTTCTTCCCCTAGCTGTGGGTTGGGAAATTTTTATTAGCATTCAGATTGAATATACATATATAGATAAGAGATTTTCATAGCCTGTTTGTAGTTGGCTAGGTTTAACATGATTATTTTGATACTGAAAATTATGTTTTTCAGTAAGTTCTTTTTAAAGGTTGTTAAATTAAAAGTATTTGTAATTCTCAAAATGACATCATCTTTTGCTCTATATCAGTTTTTAAACAAATTATCTAATTGGTCATGACGTTGGATTTACATTATTATAGACACCAAGTATAGTGCTTAGCAGATAGGTCCTCAATAAATGGCAACTTTTCTTTTTACGTGTTACATTTGTTAGATTAATATATACCAAAATCCAGAGATTAGAGAAGTAAATCTAGAACAGATGTATCCTTAGAACTTCCTGCAATGACATGACAAAAATATTCCATAGTCCTGTACTGTCTAATACACCAACCGCCATAATCTGCAGCTACTGAGTACTTAAATGTGACTTGTGCAAGCAAATAATTAAATTTTCAGTTTCACTTAACTGATTTAAATTCAACTGAGTTGCCACATGTGGCTAGTGGCTAGTATTGGACAATGCAAGTCAAAAAGATTATGTTAACACTGTCTTTACAAGTTATTCATTTGGATTTAGCACAGGAAGTCAACATTTCTCCTGCATTCTTAAAAGCATTAGTGAGTCCAAAAATTAATTTGAATTTGTGCTTGGAAGAAGATTATATGATTTAATTTTGTAATCTATGGTATTGTGTAAAAAGAAAAAATCACTCAGTGATTTTCTATTCAGTTTTAAAAGTTACTCTACAGTTTCTGCTATTTAAAAATTCTAGTCATAATGGACATTATAAAATAAAAATGTTAGGGATGCATATTTTGAAAATTAATATATTATGCTGATAAACTCTGATTCAGACTAAAATTCATTATTTATCAAGCTCATACTACTATTCTGAAATCCCAGGTTTTTCAGTAGAAAGAGAAAACTTAGGAAAAGACTTCAGATAAGACTTCAAGGAAACAATCATGATACTGGTTTATAAAATACTGTAGTTAAATGGAACAACATACTTGTTAATGGGGAAAAATGTTCTTACAGTATCTCACCGCTTATAAACTAGATTCTAAGTGATTTTTCACTACAGAAATGTCTGATTTTAAATAAATAGTTAGAAACATCAGGCAGATTAGATTCAAATCTAAAGCATTAAATGATTAGCAGATTGCACCTGGCAACAAACTCAGGTACTATGTCTTATGTCTTATGTGTTAGAGGTACAGTCAGATGAAAAGCAAGTGAAGAAATGGGAAACTGTACATTAAGTGGCTGGCTTGCAAAAAAAAAAAAATAGCCATCTGCAATCAGTTACAGTTGACTGCAACAAAAAATAGTTTCCAGGGATCAAAGGAAATGAAAGGCTGACCAGGGCAACCAGAATATCCCACAGTGTGTTAAATATTTATTACAGAGCCACTTTGCCCCCAAACAATCTGATTCCTGGCATATTTCCACTAAAATAGCTCATCAGTAATTAATTTGGTGTGCCATTTTGCCTAAAATTAGTAATTAATGTTAGTCTATGGGCATTATATTGAACTGTTTTCACCAAAGAATTCAATCTCCCTCCCTTTAAAAACGTGATAAAACAGCCATTTTACATTTTGTTTAGAACTTGAGCCATATATTAAAAAGAAAGAAGGAAAGACACAAAAGCATTGCAATCTCCATGAAGGAGACACCAAAGTGATATTCTCAATTTAGTTGATGGTTTTCAAGGTCCTTGCATTTTTTCTCTTCCACTTCTTGATATTATGAGTACTATAATATGAATAGATCTTTCAGCCAGTCTCTGAGCTTTAATGAACTATTAAGGCATGTTCATGGTATTTTCTTTTCAATGGTTCTCTCTCAAAGTTTAACAGGTTGTAAATGGAAACCCTGAAAAATGATGCATTTTTCAAGTACCATTTTCCTGATCTTTTGAAATTAATCTTTTTTCTAAATGAGAACAATATTATCAGCAAAAAGAAAACTGCTGCATTAGGTGATCCTAATCACCCAATGTGAGAAACACCTCACCTTGTCCCATCTTTCCTGTGTTTTAGCAAAATCACTACATAAGTGCTATATATATATATATATATATATATATATATATATATATATATATATCTTTCAAAGACTTCAGTTTCAAGGAATACAATATTTTATTTAGTGAAGTTATCTGAAGTTAAATTACTGTTTTTCTAGAAAGCAAGCTCAACAAATTGTCCATTCACATCTTGTGACATTTCCTCTCCAATTCATCTCTGGAGCCTACTTTTAGCAAAGGTTGATTTCAACCAAATTTATTTCTCTAGTTTGTCTTCACTTTCCCCCAAACCTAATTTGCGGGAATTCTTTTTTCTTTTTAAATTGTTTAGTATTATTTTAGTTTTTGTTTTTTACCCTAAAGACATGAGATTAAGCACCAACCGAAGGTCAGTCCCCACATAGTTGTCACATCCCTTTACTCATTCTAAGAGGTTGCCCCAGGTCCCAGTCACCTTCCTGCAATCACTGGCTATTTCTAGTATCCATTTGCTTGCCCTCTCCCTGCATTTCTCTGTTCTGAAATCGTATCCAGGCAAAGAAAAGCTGGCTAGAAGGTAGAGAAATGTTAATAATACGACCACCTCTGCTTCTGATATTGTTGCTGCTTTGTGACAAGTATATGGCTTAGTATCTGAACCAGACACTGAACTAAGTACTTAGCATGTTTTTATCTCATCTAAGTCTCACAGTAACCTTATAGACATGTTACTATTCCCATTTTTTAGTTGAGGAAACTGGGGCTCAATAAGGGAAAATCACTTGCTCAATTATATAGGAATTAAGCAAGGATTTGAAATCAAATCTGCTTAATTCTATATATGTGTAAATGTTTATACACATTTGCATATGGTATGCATACTAATAACCTTGTTAATCTTCATTCTGTGTATAATACAATGCTATTTTATTCCCTCAGAAATCCTCTAATAAAAAAATCATTTAATTTCACATTTGGTGGTGACATACCATTACTTTTTGTCATATTCTCCGCAAAGTGACAATAACAACACCTGTCTTCTTGCCCAGAAAATTCTTATGAGTTGTTTCCCAGCCAAACACTGGTCATTTCTCTCAAAGCCAGACTTAATTCAGTTGCTTAGGTCATCGGGCAGTGACACCCCTGCCAGCCCATTTCCTGACCTCTGTGCACAGCCCCATCTCTGCCACAATCCTGTACTTCTTCCTTCCCTTTGCCTTGCTTTCTCTGTCCCATAACTAGGCTGGTGTTTTGTTTTTTTGTTTTGTTTTGTTTTTGTTTTTTATCTTCTATCGTTTAGACCTGCACTCTCTGTTCCTTCCAAGGAGGTCAAATATTTTATGTTGATATATACTAATAACCTCAATATATTTGAAAAGAGCAGGAGCTAAATAAGTTGCCACCTAAAGTGTAAAGGGTTGGCAAGAAGAGGGTAAGAAGGCACCCCATTTCTCCCATTTAAAAAAGAGAATTTTACCAAATACCACATATAAGTGGCAGCTAAACATCAGGTACACATGGATATAAAGATGGAAACAGTAGACACTGGGGACTCCAGAGGGGGATGGAAGGGAGAGTAGGAAGAGTTGCAAACCTACCTATTGGGTACTATGTTAACTATCTGTGTGACAGGATCACTAGAAGCCCAAACCTCAGCATCATGCAATATACTCATGTAATCAAACTGGCACATGCACCCACGAGTCCAAAATAATAACCAACAAAAGGATCACGGTTCGGTATTGGTAAAACACTATTTGTGCATGTGCTACTAATAAATACATAATTACTTAGTACATTTATATAACATATCAAGTTAAAAATATATATTTGTATGTATGTGTATACACACATACATGCATTATGTGTGTTGTAAGCCATTACCGAAAAGAAATAATAAAAACATTAAATAAAATTAAAAAAAACAAAAATTATAATTGTAAATCACATATATATGTAAATATGTTTTTTAAATGTCCACATATTTGTTAGTATTAAGTAATAATTAATTATAAGTGTTTTAGTGGTAATGTGTTTATATTTTTAAGAGCCTTTCATTTAGGAATGCATACTGCAAGTACTTTTTTGGAAAAGAGACAAGGATAGATATAAATGAAAGAAAACCAGATTGGCCACGAGTGATTATTATTCATGTTAGGTGATGGGTGCACAGAGTTCAGGGTTCATTACTATTCTTTCTACCTTTATAAATGTTTGAAGTCTTTGATAATTTAAAAATCTCTTTAAAGAGAAGTGCATAGTATGTTTCTTTTTGATTCAACTTTTTATGTAACAGAATCCTTTTTGAAACAAAGCCCCAGCTCATCCTCCCAACCCTTTCAGATGAACACTTTCTACTTTATAGTGGAGGGGCCATGCACAGCGTTAGGAATTGCTGTCACTTCACTTGATGAAGGTCCAAAAGCCAGTCTAGTAAAACCCCTGGGAATACTGTTGAGTGATTTCTAACATGTTAGAAGCCTGGAAATGTTGGCTACACCTCAAGCTCATTTATCTGTAAAGCTTTACTTCTGTGATTTATCATTGTCATTTACTTCCTTTTACATTTGCTCCTAGAAAAATGATGTTGGTGGTGATAATGTACTAATGGTTCCATGTAATCTAGAAACTTTGACTTAATAGTCACAACAGCTCTATGAGGCAGGTGCTATCATGATATCCATTTTGCAGATGAAGAAACTGTAGTGTGGAGAAGTGCCTGGGGTTGGCCACACAGCCCACATGTAACAGAGCTGGGGTTTGAATCCGTGCGGTCACATAGTATTCAACCAAGTGACCCTCCAAGGTACTTTCTCAATAATAGAGGGTCAGGCAAAGGAAAATGGCTCACACTTGTAATCACAGCACTTTGGGAGGCTGAGGCAGGAGGATCGCTTGAGTTTTGAGACCAGTCTGGGCAACATAGAGACCCGTGTGTGTGTGTGTGTGTGTGTGTGTGTGTGTTTGTCTATAAGCCAGGCACTGTGGCCCACCTGTAGTCCCAGCTACTCAGGAGGCTGAGACGGGAGGATCACTTGAGCCCAGGAGATGGAGTCTGTAGTGACCTATGTTCGTGCCACTGCACTCCAGCCTGGGTGACGGAGAGACAGTCTGTCTCTAAAATAAATAATAATAATAATAGGTTAACTTTCCAAACTATGTTTATGTTACCAAATTCCTCTTTAAACAACAAAGGAGAGTCAACACCTCACACTTTTGCTTTCCCTCCTCCGGAGCTTCTGTCTTTTTTAAGTGGCTACCCCACCACGGGCCCTCCCTGAGACTCTGACTTTCCTGCAGTGTGAGATGCCCTTCACTGATCCTGCGGAGCCTCTGATCTCTGCCTTTTGCAGGAGGCAGGTGGGCAGAGCAAAATTCAAAGATGCAAGCACTGATCTTCCACACACCAGCTGACTCATTTGAATGGCTCGCTGCTCCTGGCTGGACCCACGTGTTTCTTGTTCCCGGATCAGACCAAGAGATCTGAGGCACTGCGGGAGGAGCCCGACAATGCAGGACCCCATGAGCCCAGCTTCTACTCTAAGAAGTTTCCACAGTTGCAGTACTATCCTTGATGGTCCTGGAACTTGCAAGGGCAGCTTTTAGAGCATTAACTTCTCATGCCTAACTCTACTGCAGCTGGCATGGAATCAGCATGACATGGGAAGTTAGTTTGGTTAATTTGTTAAACAGCTGGTAGCCTCCTTTAACTGGTAACTAGTTAAGGCACTAAGAACTTTCTACTTTTCAACATATTAATATGTGACATGCCTGATACCATTTCGTGAGGTTGCAGGTTGAAATTAACCATGAACATTAGTGATGTATACTGGATAATAAGGTATGTGCTATGTGCTGAGAAACAAATCCAAGTGGGGGTGTTTACAGTTTAGAATGCATACTGTGGGAAGTACATGTTGAATGACAACCATTTACCAAGTGAAACTTTTAGATATAAGACAAGATATAAAGAATTAAGGGATAGATTTCAATCAATCGACGATGACAGCTAAATGAAATATTGCTTTGCATAACTGAAAAGCCAATTTTTGCTCTTTTGATTAAACAACATCAGGCCAGTCATCCATTTTTTTTTTCTCAGCACACTCAAGTGCCTAGTATCTAAAAGGAACTCTGCTGCTGTTTACATATTCCTCTCCCTGCAGGGTTTTATAGTAGAAAAGTTGGAAATGATTATTATATATACAAGCAATAAGATACGAGTATGATAAAATATTTTGGAACAATGTCTGTAAGAGTTAAGATGAAGATGACAGGTTGGGAATGTGGATCCACATTCACATTCAGCCAGTATGTTTTCTTTGCATTGCATAAAAGGAAAACATTATATTAATGATAAGGAAGGAATCATTAACTTTCGGAAAGCTAGAATGAGTTAGTGTCCACACAATTTTAAGACTATCAAGAATTAATCACACCATAGTTGTGATGAATATATGTCCTTATCCTGGAAAGTTTGGAGTAGTACGTTTTATATTTTTCTATAATGGTTGTTTCTCCTGCTGTTCCCCTGGAGGTTAGAAGGGCTGGTGGAAAGCAAAATAAAGCCTTTCTTTTCTTTCATTTTTTTTTTTGACAATAGGATATGTGTTTGCCAAGCAACCATTGGAAATATATATATATATCAGCTGGAAAATTTGCTACTTAACATCTGGTACAACTAACTCTCTCCCTTTCCCCTTCCTCCACACTGATTGACTAATTGTTTTGCCTTTATATAAAAGCCCATATGAGTCAGATTTTCCCCTGTGAATTTCATTTACTGGTAATGTCAAGTACAAATCCTTAGTAGACCACAGTGATGCTCTGTGTAAACCTCTTTAATCACCTAATTGTTTTGCCGGGAGAAACAGCTCTAGTAGGAAGAATAAAATTCCTTTAGTGATTACAAAAGTATCCTCTAGGCTTCTAGATTAAGAAACATCAGAAAAAGAAAGACTCTAAACTCCTTCAGAGTACCAATTTATTATTGGATCTTAACCTCTTTATTTTATTGTTCTTGTTTTGCAAGAGAATCTTTATCTTCCTGAACTGTGTGTGATTAATTATCACATAATACGTTAAGATAGCACTTTTTTCCCCTGAGTAAGCTATATTTCAGAGTGGTTTTGTGATGTATAGATAAGCCTTTCTTGACATATGGAATGATTTAGAGACAGAGACAGCAGAGCTGCTTGGGATAAATGCTCTCCGTGGTGTAACGGTGAGCTTACCAAAATTTGTCAAGAGACAGAACTGAGACTACCTTCAAATTCTATATTTCTTTGCCATTTTCAAGTTGTATTAGAAAAGATTTCATTTTTGCGGCCCTTGATGTAATTTTTCTGGATTTTAATACCTTAGGTACTTTCCTTAGACCTGAGTCATGAAGTGCTGTGCCAGTGAGGTGGAAATAAGCAGTATTTCAATTGCATAAAAATTGCCCAATGGTGGGTGCAAAAAAACGGCAGTGATTCTAGCTTTCTTTAACTTATTTATTAGTAATATAAAGACATAAATCAGATATATGAGGCTTTTCTAAGGATAGTTTAAATCAAGGACGGAGAAGATATGCCCAAGACCTAAAGTGGTTAGCATAATGAACTTGAAACCAACTTTTATTTTAGAGAAAGCAAAATGACAGAGCTGAGGGAAGTCATGCGAAATATAGTGGCTGTGAGACCTTGAATATGCCGATGCCACAAAAGAACTAGATGATGGTAAATTACTATTATGGTAGTAAAAAGAGAGATGATGAGGATATGTTCTGACTCAGCAATTCTTGTCCCAGGCTTGTGGACCGTGTATCACTGGCAGAGATAAGTCTTGTCCAGGAGCCCTTGTGTGAACTCAGTGTTGTCCCTTCTCCAACAGGGCCCTCCCCTCCCCACAACCACCACCACTGAGTGCAGCACAAGCTATTCCTTTGGGGGCGCCCCCGCTGTGTCGGTCCCAGGCTTTTCCTTTCACCCCTTGTTGATTCATTGTTAAAAGGCTTTGGGAACGTATTAGACAAGGCAGCCAGTGGCTATTGAAGATGTACAACATTGAAATTCACTCGAAGTGTGGAGAGAAGTGCCGGTCCCAATAGAACCTTTTGCTAACATCAGGGTACAGGTGGAGTGACTGCTATTACTGACTCAAAACACCAGAGCAGAAAGGAAAAGGAAAGAGGGAGAGCTTGCCTGGGTAAGGATGATCAGAAAGTGGGTAAAGGCATTCAGAGAGCTGTGAAGACAAGCAGAAGGCCTTGGAAGAAGCTACATTAACCTGCGATGTTCTGGAAATGCTCCACAGATTTCAGGATCAGTCCCTCTGGTGGGCATGATATTTCATTGTTTCCTTCTCGACGAACCAATTTCATATGAGAAAAATAAAATGCCTACTGGCTTCTGCAAATTTCTGGACATAAGCGTGAATCATTTGATCTAGAAATACATCCAGGTAAAAAACTTCACAATCTTTTTTTATGCTGATAACTTGAATAAAGTGTGGATAATTAGGAGTGTTGGCAGAATAAATACTTTAGGATTTTAAAAAAATTGTGCTTAGGCTCTCTTACTTATGGTACACCTTGAACAATAACAGATAGTGTTATATTCTCAGGGAAAAAATCCACATGGTCCTATATGGAAAAATGAATGGCAATGCCACTTACATTCCTAGTATATCTGAATTTTAAAAACTGATTTCCATCCATAATGTACAAATCTATATTTACCTCCATGTTCTGTGAAATATATCTATACTTGGATCTTGCTCAGATGTCTCCTAAAGAAGATGTTCTCAAGGCTAAGTTAAGTGGTGAGGATTTTCAACGCCCTATAAGCATTCAAAGTATTTAAAAAATATTTTTGGTAATTTGAAGTCATCAGAAAATATTGTTCCTATTAATAACAAATGTAACTTTCTGGGTTTTGTTGTTGTATAAATGGATATAAAACAGTAAAAGCATTGATGGAGAACCAATACTTTAAACAATAGCCAACGGGTAATATTAGATAACTCTTTTTGTCTTAGTTAAAACACAATTGTTACAGGAAAGGGGTCCCAAACCAGAACCCAAGAGAAGGTTCTTGGATCTCACACAAGAAAGAATTCAGGGTGGGTCCATAGAGTAAATTGAAAGCAAGTTTATCAGGAAAGTAAAGGAATGAAAGAATGGCTAGTCCATAGACAGAGCAGCCCCGAGAGCTTCTGGTTGCCCATTTTTATAGTTATTTTTTGATGATATGCTAAACAAGGTGTGAGTTATTCATGCCTCCCCTTTTTAGACCATATAGGGTAACTTCCTGACATTACCATGGCATTTGTAGATGGTCATGGCACTGGTGGGAATACAGCAATGAGGACAACCAGAGGTCGCTCTCATTGCCATCTTGGTTTTGGTGGGTTTTGGCTGGCTTCTTTACTGCAACCTGTTTTATCAGCAAGGTCTTTATGACCTATCTTGTGCCAACCTCCTATCACATCCTGTGACTTAGAATGCCTTAACCATCTGGGAATGCATCCCAGTAGGTCTCAGCCTCATTTTACCCAGCCTCTATTCAAGATGTAATTGCTCTTGTTCGAACGCTTCTGACACAATCATGCTTAGCCCACCAATTCTCCAAGCCACCAAACTGACTTTCCTTTCCTAAGGTTCTTGTGTCCACCCAAATTTCCAAAGTACACGTCCAGTCCAAAGGGTCAGTCCTATTTTTCATCATTTAAAAAAGATGGACTGATGTTCCATCTTTTTGCTGAAAGCATTCCCTCTGGAGGTCTCCAACAGTCTCCTGATACCAAGGCAGTGAGCCTGGACTGCCAATCCTGCAGCACCCAGTGACACAGCTTTCACAGAAACACACTCAAGTCTACTTCCCTGGGGCACACCCAGAGTGACAAAGGCATCTCTAGAGGGGGTACATGATGTTTCCAGAAGTGGTTCTCTTCAGACACATTTTCTGTCTGGATGCTGAACCTTGGTCATTGGTCACTGGTCTGGGATATCTGAGATCCTTCTTTCTTTCTTTTTCTTTTTTTTTTTTTTTGGATACTCTCACAAACTCTGCCTGTGTTTTACTAACGATTCACTTCTGTCAAGACCAATGGAAGAAACGAGGCTTAAGCATTTTGAATTCAAAGAGATAGGAGTTGGTTTATGAATGCTTTCCTCCCTGAAGACTGATGCCCAGGCAAATTTAGCTCCAGCCTCTTCTTTAAGACAAAAGCAAAGCTTCCAGAGAGCAAAGGATGTGCAACCACAAACACAACCTCATGTCTACACGGTTGGGCTCCTGGCGGGCTAGACCCAAAAGAAAAAAGAAAGAAGATTCTAATTGCTTCCAATTGCTTCACATCTACATAACTAAAGGAGACAGTCAGATGATTCTTCCATAAATGAAGGAAGTTTGCTTCAAAGTGACTTGCAGCATTGAAGAAGCAATGTTCTAAGCAAGGGGAAGAAGGGACCAGTGGTGACATTATGGAATTGTTTAGTTACCATTTATGAAGTGCTAACTCTGTGTTTTATACCTCTGTAGTTATTTCCACTCAATATTTCAACCAATCCAACATTATGAAATATTGAGAGAATACAATATAAAATACAGTGTGTAAAATACAAATGAGAGTACTGAAATCAATCGTTAACTTCAATAACTTGTCCAAAGCCAAATCTGGGGTTCCAAAATCTACTATTATCTTTAGGGCATGCTTCATCTAGTACATGTTACATACATGTGATAATGCTTTCTAAGTATATATTTTATATATATATATATGAGATTTTCATATATAAGATTTACCCCAGGGATACAGGTTCTTAACCCCATTTTACAGATGAGAAAACATAGACTTAGAAAGCTTGTTACTTACTTAAGATCAAAGACCTCAAAAAACCCAGACATTATCACTATCTCACCTGCATTCTAATTTCTTCACCTGATTTTCTTACTAATAATTTTGGATTAACTAGCATGGGATTTATTATGCAATGTAGTAGCTAAAAACAAACAAACAAAAAACAACTCCATTAAACCATGTTTAACATGTACTGGATGAAGCATGCCCTAAAGATAATAGTTATATATTATCAGATATATATAATATATATTTTTTATATATATATATATATATATATATATATATCTGAACATGATGAAACACCTTGACCAGTCTGTTTTTCCTGTAGGTCCATGAAGTAGGTGGCTGTGTCTGTCTCGTTTACAGTTTTATTGCAAATGCCTAGCATGCTGCCTGACACGTTGCAAGTACTCAGTAAATATTTCATGAATAAACGATTGTTGAATAAATTAAGAGATACATAAAATCATTGCAATAGAGAAAAAAATGCTAATTTTTCAAGTTCATTACCCTGCCAGAAAGACTGCCATTGTGTCCTTGCTAATACTGAACAGATCCTTTTGTAGAAAATTCAAATTTTATTACAAAATGCAAATAAAGGTGAGAGCTACATAGTTATTGATGATTAAAATAAAACATAAAATTTGATGTTGAAACCTTTAGAGGAGTTCAAATGATTTTATAAAATGCAAGGAAATATTATAGAAGCAGCTAATGCCAAGTCGTACTAGGAATGAAACTCACAAGTCTCAGTCTACAGAAAACACGGTACATGTGCCACCATTTGGTGAGATTATGGAGTTGCAAATAATTATTGCTAATTTCACATCACACTATTATAGGGAAGTTCCTTGCATAATGTAATAATTTATATTATTTAAAATTGGAAATAATGTTTATGGTGTTTACAGCATGGCTAAAATTACGCATAGAATTGTAAAATATAAATCCATGAGTTTAAAACGTTACAAGAGTCACATTTTCAGTTTGAAGACACTTAAGCAATTGTGAAATAAGTCGAAGGAAAGATTTTTGCTTACCTGACCACTAATAGTGGTTGTACATGTTCAATTTCTAACCAGTATAAACAGAGCCAAAGAGATTCAGAGCCGTGTGGCATCATTTATCGTCAAAGTTGACGGGACCCAAGAGGCTACACTGTTTTGATGTCTGAGGCTTGACCTTACACTAATGAGAACGGATTTTCTTATGTGGGTCCTAAATTGACTCTGACGTCAGTTCCCAAAGAGGAGCTCCAGAAATGAATTGAACAGAGAAAACATCCTAGGAATAAGTGTATTTTCTAATGAGGGGACGCCATTATTGGACAAGGAGCTCCAGGTTACCTCAAAATCAATTCTATGAAGAGAGAGTCTCACTAGCGATCATTTTTGTGGTAAAATCCCCCAATTCTGCCTGACTCTCTCGTAAGGCTTTTCTTTTTTTCCTTTTCTTGTGTTTTTGTTGTTGGTGGTGGTGGTGATGATGGTGTTGGTTTTGGAGACAGTGTCTCGCTCTGTCACCCAGGCTGGAACGCAGTGGTGCGATCTCGGCTCACTGCAAGCTCCGCCTCCCGGGTTCAAGTGCTTCTCCTGCCTCAGCCTCCCGAGTAGCTGGGATTACAGGCACCTGCCGCCACGCCCGGCTAATTTATTTTGTGTGTGTGTATTTTTTTGTTTGTTTTTTGTTTATTTTTAGGGGTTTCGCCATGTTGTCCAGGGTGGTCTCCAACCCCTGAGCTCAGGTGATCCACCTGCCTCCGCCTATCAAAGGCTTGGAGGGATTACAGGCGTGAGCCACCGCACCCGGCCTCCTGTAAGGCTTTTCTGGCTAGGCTTTCTCTCTCCTACAGACGCGTTTAGTCCTCTCCATGGAAGAGGACAGTGCCCCGCGCAGACAGGCTCCCTGGGAAAGCTAAGCAGTACCAGCTATAGGCGACCACAAAGAAAAAGGTGTTTGGGGTAAAATTTTTAACTCTGCCTACCTATCGGCTCTTTCTTCCATCTGATTATTCTGCCACTTGTTGATTTTGCCACTTGTTGATTCCGAGCAAGAGCAACTTTAGAAAATTATACGGTCTGATAAATATCAGGGTTTTTTTCCAATTTGTTTTTGTTTCCTGATTATCTAATTCACACTTAAAAAAAAAAAGGCCAAGTGGGTGATGGCTCACATCTGTAATACCAGCACTTCAGGAGGCTGAGGCAGGATAGACAAAAAAAAAAAAAAAAAGTAATAGCTGTGTGTGGTGGCATGTACTTGTCATCCCAGCTACTCAGGAGGCCAAGGCAGGAGGATTGCTTGAGGCCAGGAGTTCGAGACCAGCCTGGGCAACATAGGGAGACTGTCTCAAAAAAAAAATTAAAAAAAAAATGAAATTAGCAGGAGTGGTGGTATGTGCCTGTAGTCCCAGCCTAGCTGATTAGGACGCCCAGGTGGGAGGATCCTGTGAGCCTGGTAGGTGGAGGCTGCAGGAGCCGTGATTGCGCCACTTCACTCCAGCCTGCACTTCAGCCTCCGCAACTACAGCGAGACCCTGTCTCAGGAAAAAGAAAAAAAAAAAAAAAAAAAAGCTCTATGCTTAGCTTAGCATGCACAGAATAAAAAAAATTAGAGCAGTACAGAAGTTCAGTTTTGATATATATGTTTTAAGGTAAAATTTATTTCTCTAACATACTTAAAGCTTACATGGGTAGTTGCTGAAAAATTCTGGGTTATGAGATATAATTCAATTCTCCTGAATAAATCAATTCAATGTGTTATATTGATGGAATAAATAAGTTGTATGTTGAGTAAGAAATATTAGAATTGTGCTGAACAGCTAATGAATTCTCTGGAATTGTATCCCATCTGTAGACAACCATTTGGATGTACTTCTAAGAACTATCATATAAAATGAGCATAGTCCCTATCTAACTATTTGACACGTATGAAAACAAATAACGCCTCTGTGAATGAATAAACTTCTCCAATTTGGAGGCAAGATTCCTTAACTTTAGCTATAGAATTGAGAATCATATCATATATGCCGTTAGTTAATAATAAAATTTAAAATATCATGTAGTTCAGGAAGAATAATCTATCCTATTCTGAACAGAAGTCATACCTGTTCAGGCCATAGTGATAAGTGTTTGGTGAAGACAGACACTAAATCAAGTATTTTTAACTTAAGATTATCATATTTATTAAAAGAAATTCGTGGTATTACAGGCTTTATATGCAAGTAGTTTAATGAATTCTGTTTGTACCTCATTGTTTCTGGAGAATATATAAAGCATATCTTAGTAGTTAAAGAACTTATGCAATTTCTGGAAATTAAAACAATAGTCTATGATTACTTCAAAAATCCAAAGTGATATATAGTTGAGTTTTTCTTGATTCAAATAATATAATATCATTTTGTTATTTATAACATTGATGTTGCTAAATAATCAGTAAGAATTCAAAAATTAAAATAATAGAGCTGTTTTGTTTCCACTTACGTGTGCTGTTTGCAAAAATGCAGCTACATAGGGTGTTTTGTACCCAGGTTTGATGAGAACTTTGTCAACCATCTGCACTGTCTGATTCCATAAGAGTGACAATCTAAAGCCTCTGAAGATTTCACCTTTATGTAAAGGTTCTGCACAATTTTCTTGTTGGTAAATATTACATTTTAGCATGAAAATGCCCTGATATGTATTGGGTGAAATTTTTCTAGTTTCAAATGTTTGGTCAGTAATGGCATACTAAAGCAATAAAGAAAATGAAATTAGAAGGAAGAAAAAAAGAACTCCAGAAAATGAAATAGTAGAATAAAAGTTAAATAAAAATAAAATTAAGACTAGATTTTGAACTCCAAGCCATAGGAATTTTTATTAGAAAGAAGATTTCTATGTGGATTTTAACCCCATCAAATATGAATATAGTAAATATAAACACTATTTTAGAACCACTTTAGCAACTCTTTAACTTCTGATATAAATGTGTATTTTAAATTATTTTAAAACTTTAAAATTATCAGTTAAACTGTGATTACCGCAAACACTTGATTATTTCAAGTAGTCAGGAAAAGGGTCCTGAACATATGTGTCAAATATATTATAAAATTGTTATATATCTAGGGCTCTCTGCAGATCTCAGAAACGTATGCATACTGTTTATCTTAAATTAGTTTACTTTTGCTTTCTTGCTTCAATATATATTAGTAGTACCAAACATTTTTTTGGCTGACTTTACTTATTTTGAAAGTAAGCACCTGGATTAATAAATCACCCGAAAGTATTCTTTGTGCATTCCCTGTTGTTTTCCTTACAAAGAAATTCAAAGAATTAGCAAAAATTGGTGTCATCATTTGTTTTAGAGTGGTTGGCTTTGAATGGTTACTTTTATTGTACAGCCTACCATAAATTCATGACGCATGAAAATTTATTAGCTAAATGTCGTAACGGTATGTTTATCATCAAAAGTCAATTGGGAATGGGGGTGGGATCTGGTGTAGATTTGAAGACTCTTTTAGCACCTAAGTGCTAAAAGCACTTTACACATTTTAAGTTATTTTTTCATAACTCATCCTCGTTTTTATAAGTGTGAGATAGGAATGGAAGAAAAGGTAAACCTGCACCATCTAGAGTTTATAAAGCTGAAAATGGACCTTCAAAAGTCGATGTACCAATACAGATTTGAATAGTTTCCAGGTGTTACCGTGCCAACAACAGCACCTGGATTTATTTTGTTCTCATCTTTTTTGGATTAAGTTTCAATGTTACAGCCACAAGGTGCTCAAAATTTTGATGTGTGCCTATCCACTGCCATTTGCTCCTTCAGAAACAAGTAACAGCCAGACAAATCCCAAATTACTTGATGACAGGCCCCTGAAACTACACTTCTGTTTTATTTACCCTTATCATTTTCCAAGGAGAAAATCACAGAGCCCGTAGAGCTGGCCATGATGTAAGGTTGCACTGACAGTCCAAACGTGGCTTGCTTTATCCCCTCAATTCTCTCCTTGTTTCTTCTATGCACCCAATATATTAAAATATTCAACTGTGGGACTTATTCCCATTCATATTTGGACAGAGAAAAGAGAGCAACTCAGGCCACAAATAAATTGCCAATAGTGTCCTTTCTCCATTTTTTCTGTGGCTGGCTCACAGGTTCATCCAAGAGCAAACACTTTTTGTCTTCTCATCTTACACTGTGCCATAAACCACGCTGGAATTGTTAACAGCTAATGATATCACTGGATTATTGTATTTGGCCAACTGTCCTGTATTACTGTGATGATAACATTGACTCTATGGCCAAACATCACAAGAAGGGGTAAAGAAAGGATTATTTTATATTATAAAGGGTTATATTATATATTATTTCCTAATATTTCCCAACTTTTTTTGAGATTATTAGTAACAATCTTTAGATTATGTAACCATGGTCATGATTTTATGTGTGAGTGAGGATTTAAGAAAACTATTGGAATAATTCCAACCTAAAGCACAATTTCATATGTATTCAGGTATTCTAAAATGGTTAGAAAACTGATGCCACATAGAAGAACACATATTATGGCTTACGTCATCCAGAGTTCAACTTTTAAAACTCTCATGAGGTTTTCTCTTAAGTTAAGCATGTATGAGTCAAATGAAGTATAAAATATAAGTTATAATTTTCAAAAACAAATAGAATCTTAGACATGTTTAACTGGAATGTCTAGTAAATTATTGTAAAAATATATTTTTTGTTTGAATTCCCTCAACAATTTCCTGACCCTTTTAGAGTGACATACACATATCAAATTCATCTTTTTTTAAGCATGTAACCAGAGCAGTTATTTGCCTACATTCTTTCCTGAATATCTTCTTCATTTCCCTGGCAATATGTGATAATTGGGTTTTTAAAAATCTGAATTAATTGTGAAGGAAGAAAAGGACAAATCCTGATCGGTGATCTTTCTATGACTTATTTAAATTCCATTTCAACATAAAAATTGTATTGAAAGTTAATCAAATGTGATCAATTAGCATTACATGTAAAGAACACCAATAAATACCTGCACATCTCATAGGTTTAACAAGATTGAGACTTTGTTTTGTATGGATTTGAAATAAAAACTATTTGTAAGGCATATGGACACAATTTTGTTTTCTACTTGACACTGAAGATTCTTTCAGCATTTTAGTGCTTTGAAGTATTTTTTTTTTCCAGGGCTATATCTTGGCTGGCACAGAATCAAAGTTATTTGGAAAGAATAAAGAGCATACATCAAATATCAGAATTACCACTCAGAAAATCTCATCTGCCACAATGTGTAGTGGAGCTTTTCATATTTGTTTTCTGGTCAAGATATACTGCATATTGTTTAGACTTCATTCTGATAAGTGCAGACACATGATTAGAGCAAATTTGCCTTTAATCAGCCATGGGTATTTTGTTACATCTTAGAGTATTCAGTCATCCTATTGAGTTTGTACATTTTATTATTTTGGAAAGCTTAGAAAATGGAATTGCGTGAAAAAGAAAGCCAGAGCTCTGTTGTTCGACAGTTTCACATCATCATTATCATTTATTATTCATTGTTTCTGTATGTAAATTGTAAGAATCATTGACTTTCCATTAAAAAAAACCTTCATTCATTTGGAAGCTAAATTTTAGTAAAATCAAACAGGATGTTCTTAGCTTATTTTTTGTTTAATATCATCTATATAATTCCAAATATTCATTGCAATGTTATCTTCATTTATTTCTATAAAGTGTCTTGAATAGCAAGTACTAATTAATCATGTATTGAGCTTTTTCTCAACTTTTTAATTGTAGGTACATGCCAAATGATTAATCATTTGATACACCAATATTGAGTATTGCTTTTAATTTTACATTATATAAAGATTTTTTCTCCATTTTAAAATAAATTTTTTTTGCAAACTGTAGCCCTCCTAAAGGTTTGCGACATTGAGAAGAAAGATATGTAACTAACCTGCACAATGTGCACATGTACCCTAAAACTTAAAGTATAATAAAAAAAATAAAAAAAAGAAAGATCTTGGATTAAGTCATAATGATTACTAAGGGAAAGAATATTACCTTAAAATCCGTGAGTGACAAATGTCCAAATCGCTACTGTGAAGGTGTTTGAAGGTTGAAGACTCCTATTGAGAAAGCCACTATAGAAAGTGTGCAGAAAATTATTTTCTCACCTTTAATTTTATTATATAAATTGAATACTGCCTCTACTGATCAAGTAATAAAGTTATTTTCATTTGTTATGCAAAGTCCTTTTCAAACAAATTATGGGGACTGATGGAGGAGATAGGCATTCTTCATTGAATCAAATAAAGAATGAAGCACCTAGACTGATTCATGAACTCAAGAGAAATTTAATTTAGTTGAGGCAAATAGCAGTTTATGATGAAAAGTGGAAAAAGGCAGTGTTCTTGTGGAATTGTTTCTTTTGACAGTTTGCATTAAGCCTCTGTATGTCATAAAAATGACAAGACAAATAATTTCTGAAAAAAATATCAAGCAATGGAAAGTTACTTTCTTGGGGTAAAGGTATAAAATCAATACATGTTCCTTTCTTCTCCCAAAGGGGTAACTGTTCCTCCATTTTAATACCTTTTTTAGTACAGCATATGACTGTTTCTCCAAATTATTATTAAGTTAAATAAATTGTTTTGAAAAGAAATCATTGTAGAATACAATTGCTATTTTAATTGGCAGCTAAATTAATTTTAATATTATATGAATTAGTAAAGATGGGCTTAATTAGAACCATTTTAATAATTTCATTTTACTTGGTCCTTAAGTGTTATTTAATATAAATTGATGACTGCTATTTAAATGTTAGAGGACTGTGTGGTGTTTGAAGGAGTTCCACTCATAAGTGAAATCTGTTGATACTTTTTCCATATGCCTGGGCATATTTTTCATTTTCCAAGAAGTCTTGAAGTAGAAATCAAACATCATATTAGCATTTGTAAGGTACTATGGCTTGTTAAAAAAGTTATGCCTTTGTTTAAGAGAAGGTAAGTATAGGCCAGGAGCAGTAGCTCCTGCCTGTAATCCCAACATTTTGGGAGGCTGAGGCAGGTGGATCACCTGAGGTCAGGAGTTCAAGACCAGCCTGGCTAACATGGTGAAACCCCACTTCTACTAAAAATACAAAAATTAGCTGGGTAAGGTTGCAGATGCCTGGAATCCCAGCCCCTCAGGAGGCTAAGGCAGGAAGAATTGCTTAAGCCCAAGAGGCAGAGGTTGCAGTGAGTTGGAATCGCACCACTGTACTCCAGCATGGGAGACAGAGCAAGACTCCGTCTGAAAAAAATATATATATAACTTTCATAGTTTCAGCAACTTCCCCATTAATAAAATGGAGATAATAAGGTGGAAGAGTATGTGAAAACACATTATAAACTACAAAATATTTTAAATTATTGGTAGTTATATTGAAATTATTCTGAATTTTAAGTATTATCTAGAGTATTTGTTATTAGTACCCAAACACTTGATTTTCAAAAAGTTTTTTCTTCAGTAAGCATGGTATACAATGCAGATACAAGAAGGAAGAATAGAGGGAAGAACGTGGATCAACAGGTGATACATATCAATCAAACAGTCTGGAACAGTTTCCAAGTCAACATTCAGTGTACATTTCAAGATTTAAGAAGTAAGAAAAGCCCAGAATTTTGCTACTTATATTCTGTACATGAGTCAATGACAGCCCCTTTTGTCATCATGATAGAAACATTGGGTTTGCCTATTAGGTATGCATTTTTCCTTTTTCTCAAGAGTTGCTTTCTTGTCATTTGCCATTCAAGTTATGCTATAAGAATTCACAAATAATTCAAAATTCAGTCAGGAATGATGCATAATTTCTCAGATCAAGAAATAGAGGGCTTAGACTTTTTAAGCAGAAAAATTATGAATAAAATGTTTTATATTAAAATTCTAGATATTTGAATATCTTATTAAAACTATATTACCACTTATACCAGCAATTCATTGAGTACAAATGATTAGTCTGGTTTATTCTTGGCCTGCAACCCTTTCATTTTATATATATATACATATATATGCGCATATATATACACATATGAAAGTATATATATACTTTCAGAGTATATATATATGCGCATATATATGTATAATTTCAGAGTATATATGCATATATATACTTTCAGAGTAAATATATATGCATATATATTCAGAGTAAACAGACAAAATAATTTTTGAGGTCAAGTGTTTTTTATAACTAATATTGTTTAAACACCAATAGTGATAAATAATCAACAAAATTGTCCTTGTTTGGTAAGATGTTTCACAATAAAAGGCGTTTGCCTAACTTGCGTGGCTTCTCTTTTTAGAATTAAAATGATCAATGCTTCCTAAAGAAGCAAAAATCACAGACTGATATTGAGATTTGTCAACTATTTTAGAATGATGATGAAAATAAGCTGTAAGCAATCTGTGAAATCAAATGAAGGAAAATGTTCAAATGAGAACTCTGTTGTTGCCCAAGCTACACCAAACAGCTTAGAACAGCTGTTAATGAGTAGGTCAGAAGACGGGTGCTTTCCCCTTGAATATCGGTTTCCATTTCCTATCACAGTGCCTGGCTCTCCCTCTTTGTCTCTTTTTCTCTCAGGAGTGGATAGTGTATATATCTCGTTGAGCCCTGTAATCTGTCTTTCTCCCATGTGTCAGCATCCCTCAGTAGAAAACAAATTCCTGACTTTGGGCTTAGAGTAAATCATAGAAACGAATTTCTGCATGTCCAAATTGGATTTTGACACCAACTGTATCACCACAAAATTGAGACATACGCAATGTCACTGGGCCGTTGAGTATAGCAAATTCCAGGCACAGTTTTGAAGTGCATAGAAGTTCCCCTTCAGAGACATGTTCCTTTGTTTGAAAGTCGCCTCTTTCCGGCACTGAAGTAATCTTCTTGTCCTGGGTCCTTTCTATAGCATAGGAGAGTAAAATCATAAGTTAATTACTATGGAGTAGCAGATAACTTAATATAGGCCTTTGGAACAAATTTTTGAAATGAAATGAATGAAAATACCATAAAGAAAAAGCTTCCTTAATACCAAGGCTGTGGAATTTCTAATGTAAAATAGAATTATTTTAACTTTGGTTTTGGTTTAATGTGGAAAGTAAAATTTGCTCCACACATCCTAAGTTACGGTTTATAGACCACAGTGACTTCTTGTCTTCCTCCTCCTCCTTGTCCCATGCCTCCTCCTCCTTTTCCTTCTGTCGGTATCTGCTCACATGACCATCTCTGTAACTTATTCTCTGAAACTACTAATGGAGCAATAGAGCTTGACCATGAATTTAATTTGAATGTAAGTACATAATTAGGTATCTTATCTAAAGAAGTAAAAAGCATGGTTTTGACTTCATATAGCTGGTTGGTTTGAAACCAACATTTAGTAAACTCCTTCTGTCTCCTTTTGTATTTGAAAAAATATGTTTCAGAAGTAATTTTAAAACAAGACATCTAAAAAATACAGCATCTTATGTGTGTATGTTTTAAAACATCGCTTTTTTTGGCCACTTGAGTTCAATTGAAGATGTTTATATATGTATTTTTAATTTGGGCTTATCTGTTCAGATTAACGTAAAACTATATCAATTGGTTTTGGGGTAAAGTAATCTATTTTAATTATAGATAATTGGTGTAGAAAATACAAGCAACAAACAAAGGAACATACCAAAAACACTGGTACCAAAAGCTAAGCATTGTTAACACCTTCAAAGATGTATATTTATGTATTGATCTATGCAAAAAGTGGGCTAATACTTATACATGCCATTTTAAGCCTGTGTCCGCTTAATGGTATATTGTTAATAGTATTACCATGAGTCATTAAATGACAGACCATATAAAATGATTAAAATTCAGTTCCAAAAGTTTATACTGCTCAGTATATTATTTTTCTGTTCCTCTCAACTGAAATGAAATGATGCAACCTGTTTCTTGCTATGAGATACCTCCCCTGACATTGGCAGAAACACTTTTTAAATTTTTTTTTTGAGACAGAATCTCACTCTGTCTCCCAGTCTGGAGTCCAGTGGCACGATCTCGGCTCACTGCAACCTCTGCCTCCCAGGCTCAAGTGATTCTCCTGCCTCAGCCTCCTGAGTAGCTGGGACTACAGGCGTGTGCCACCATGCCCGGCTAATTTTTGTATTTTTAGTAGAGATGGGGTTTCGCCATGTTGGCCAGGCTGGTCTTGAGCTACTGACCTCAAGTGATCCGCCCGCCTTGGCCTCCCAAAGGGCTGGGATTATAGACATGAGCCACTGCACTCAGGCGGGAATAACATTTACATGCTCCAGGTGAGAAAGACAGCACCAATTCACGTCCATTGATGACAAGTCCTAGTGTGATGCCCCCACACGTGAAAATGATATGTTTTCATGCTTTTATTATACTCACGAAGGGTTATCAGTATGTGGCAATGCCATGTGACAAGGTTGTATGCTTGTGTGGGAGCACAGTCCAGCTGCACTCTAAACAAATAGGCAGGAGTCAGCAAGCGATCATAATGGAGCCATGGGTTCTATGTCTGGACTTCCTGGGATAGGATCCCGCCTCTACTGTTTAGTAACTGGTTTTCCTTGGACTAGTTATTTAAACTCTCTGTGCTTAGTTTGCTCATCTATAAAACGAGGATGATGATAGCACTTCCCTCATAGATTTTTGTGGGAGTGAAGCAAATTTACCCCTATGCAGTCACAAATACAGACACCCCAGGCCCCAACAGGAAGGACTTTGGGACAGTGCCTGATGCCTAACAGCTTGAGAGGTAAGTTAGCTAATTTTAGTCATTGGTCAATCACCACAAGTATTGTTTTTGGCCACTCTCTGTGCTCATAACAAAGCAAATGTGTAGTTGATTTTTTTAAAAAAGAAACTTGGTTAGGCAGTATGAATGCATTCATTTACTCATAGTAATCCTTAGAATTAAAAAAAAAAAAAGCATCCCTATAACTCCATTCTTGAGTCACAGATAATGACTTGAGAACATGGATCCTGTATTAAAGCTAGCTTAAGACTGGTCACCATCGTTGATGACTGCAAATGAATGCAAGTCTGAGTACACTCATTTTGGTTCTGGACAGAAGGAGGAGTGCTTCCATCTGTTCTTAGAAATGTTGAAGCCAAGTGAGTATTACTGATGGAACACCCCGCTAGCCTTGTAATAGGAATGGGGGGAGGGTTACACAACTGATTGAGACATGTTCCCTCATCTTGAGAAGTTGACATTGTAATGAGGTCACATTACAACACATGCAAAACCAAGCACAGTATATGATATTAAAACCTCATCTGCTAGTTGAGGAAGAGAAAACCAAAGACCACATGTTCTCACTTATAAGTGGGGGCTAAAGGATGGGAACACATGGACACATAGATGGGAACAACACACACCGGGGCCTATCAGTGGGTGGAGGGTGGGAAGAGGGGGAGGCTCAGGAAAAATTACTAAATGATACTAGGCTTAATACCTGGGTGATGAAATAACGTATTCAACAAACGCCATGTTACAAGTTTACCTATGTAACAAACCTGCTCCTCCTGCACATGTACACCTAAACTTCAAATAAAAGTTACTGTTTATAAAAACAAAAACAAAACTCACCTGCTAGTTGAGGCTCCATCAATGTACATTTAGTCTTCTGGTGAAAAGAAGCTTCATGAAGGAGGCAGGACTTGACATTTTCCTTGAAAGTGTGGAAGATTTGGAGAAAGAAGGGAAGGGTTATAAACAACCCCAGGGTAAGGGGAGAATATTAGGAAGAGAAACAAGACTGAACTATGCAGCAGAGAAGCCTGGGGAGGAAAGCCAGGAGTTTGCAGAAAGGATATGCAATGAGAAACAAACTGCACAGCCGGAGGGCGCCATCCCCACCAGACTCCATCCCTTCAGACACCAACTCAAGTTCGAGGGTCTCAGGACCATCTTCATACCAGCTGGTACAAAGTCAGGCGTTCCCCCACTGACACCTTCACATTTGCTAATTTGTTAGAAAGACTCACAGAGCTCACCAGAAGCTATTACAGTTGACCCTCAGTATCCATGGGGGATTGGTTCCAGGATGCCTGAAGACACCAAAATCCACTCATACTCAAGTCCCCACAGTGCTCCCGCAGAACTTGCACATACAAAAAGTCAGCCCTCTGTATCTGTGGGTTTCTTATCCTGGGAATACTGTATTCTTCATCTGCACTGGGTTATGGATGCAGAACCTGTTGGATAGGAGGGGCCGAGCATTTGTTGAAAAAAACCCTCATGTAAATGGACTCGCAATAGAAATCCCTGTGGCTCAAATATATGCACAGTCAGGTTTATTACAGAAAAATGATACAAATTAGAACCAGCTGAAGACGAGGCTGAATAGGGCAGTCTAGGAGGGATGCATACTCTAGGAGGAAGGGCTTCCAGTCATCCTCGCCATGGAGCTATGGGCAGTTACCTCTTCTGACCATGACCCTTTGGGGACCCCCACCCAAGCCACTGGCGTCCACTTTTCCTTCTAGCTATATCACATACTGCTCACATGACTGACCTTTGGTTTCCAGCCCTTCCTGGAAGTTTGAGCCAATACTTAATCTCCAGTTCCTCTGGAGGTTGGAGCTGATTTGGTGTGTCCCAAAGCCCCCATCATAAATCACGTTTTTAGACTGTCCTATAGCGAAGCTTCCAAGCAAAGAGACACTCATCCCAGGCAGGACATTGTAGTGACCTAGAGATCACCACCTAGGAGCTGAGGACAAAGGCCAGACCACTCTCTGTGTGAGATTAATCCTTTATTGCACAGAAGAGCATAGCAGTTTAAAATGAAAGCTGTTGGTGCTGCAGAAACACTGTAATTTATTGAAACTGAAACAAGCATAATAGATACAATCTTTTAGAAAGTTGATTCTGTTGTTAGCATGTGGAGTGGAAAAAAGAAGGTGGAATCTTTTGCAATAACATACGTGTGTTTAATGCAATAAGGACCCAAATAGGGAAAATGTAACAAATCTATAATGTGTTAAGTCTGCTTCCCGTTATGGCTACAGCACCTAGCACAATGCCTGGGAAGTGAACAATAAGCATATTGGCCACAAAGCATGTTGCTTGAATTTTCAACAAATTAGACTTCACTTTTTTTTTCCACCTTTTTTTTTTTTCTGAGACAAAGTCTCGCTCTGTCACTCAGGCTGGAGAGCAGTAGTATGACCTTAGCTCACTGCAACCTCTGCCTCCCAAGTTCAAGAAATTCTCCTACCTCAGCCTCCCAAGTAGCTGGGATTACAGACATGCACTACCATGCCCAGCTAATATTTGTATTTTTAGTAGAGACAGGGTTTCCCCGTGTTGGCTAGGCTGGTCTCAAACTCCTGACCTCAAGAGATCCTCCTTCCTCAGCCTCCCAGAGTGCTAGGATAACAGACGTGAGCCACTGTGCCTGGCTTGTGACTTCACTTTTTGATTGAGCTCTATGAGTATAGTGGCTTCACGGGAAGATTTTAAGAAGGTTTGGAAGTGAAGTTTTACAGACAGCATGGGACATTGTTTTAGATACAATGAATTTAAGATAGTGAGCAATTTACTTGGAAATGTTCTGCAATCAGATGGGATTGAAGAATTCAAATATAGTTAAAAGATTAATGATAGATGTGTATTACTTGAATTACAATTATATAGCTACAGTATTGGAAATCTTGGGTGCAAATTGTTCTTCAATGACTGGGAGCATTGAAATAAGAATTAAAGAAGTTCAAGTGTAAGCAACAATTCATTTGTTTTTTTTTAAACAAGTACTTAGATGTTTTTCAATCTCATGGCAAAGTCCTTATCTCCCCTGTATATCATAAGCTTCATAGTTATTTGCAAACACAAAAGCATGTGTACAAACTATACAGACACAGACCCCCTTCCCATTGATGTGTTGTCTATTGTAGATAGAGAGGACTGAGCTCTGGAGTAAGAGAATGGAAATTAAAATTTCATTATACTATGTAGGAGAGATTGCACTTGTTTCATCTAATCTCCTTTCCATTGCCGCCTTTCAGAGGAGTGGCTGCATAACAGCCTGTGAAACGAGACAGGGACAAAGATCTCCCATGTAGTTCTGGGCAAGCTTTGGTTTTTCTGAGCTCCTTTATCTTCCTCTTCCACCACCTTCATCCTGGAATGCAGCCATTCCATAGCCATGAGGACAAGAAAGAATTTCTGAGACTTTGGAGCTGACATCGTGGAATGGGTAAATGAACCAGCACTAGCTCCTGCCTAATTTTGGACTACTCCTTATGTAAACAACAAATCTCTGTGCATTCCAAACATTTTATTTGGGTTTACTCCCATAGCCATGAATGACATTTATAATCTTGCCAACTCAGATTCCTCATTAGGAAAATGTAGATTATCTTAATAACACCTAACTACTACTGAGGCAGTAAGGAGTGAATTATGTTTATGAAAACTGCTTTGCAAATTGTAAAATGCTGTACAAATGTTAGTTGTTATTGCTCATAAAATCCTGTGTGCCCTTTCTCCACATCCAATTATAAAGCTTGATGAAAATGGTTGAAGTGGTGAATACGTTTCCAGAAAGAGAAAGGAATAGTTCTTAATGAATTATTAACAGCAATTATCTTCTGTGACCATGCTTTATAGGCTTACATCTGCCTGCTGTGGTGCTATGTTCTTGGGTTCAGTCCAAGAGCACCTAGGAAGAATTTATACACACAGATGTTTTTCCCACGTTTATATGTTCTGTCACAGAATTGCTGCTGTCATTTCTGTGGGAGGAGGACAGTGTGTAGATTATGTGATGAAACTGGATGTTCTTAAAGGAAGTATGCAAAAGGTGAAATCGCGACATTGGGGTTGTTTTTTGTTTCTTTTTGAAAATGAGAAAGGTTGCCACACCGCAAATTCATACACTTATCTTCTCCAAGCCAAATAAGAACACGAATGTCTACATTGAAGTTTATTTAAGGCAAGCAAACTATAATAATAAGATGGCAAAGTGCGTAGTTCATTTGCTAGCCTGAGGCCATTATTTAATAATCCAGGGTTCATCCGCAGATATCAGGCGTTGCGGAGAAAATGTTAGGTGTTCACTTTCCTCACGATAAATGTGTGCAACTGGGGCTACAGTTTGGAATCTTTCATTTAATTATCATGGAATTTCAAGTGCACATTGAGCGATTCCTGGTGAGCCTCCGTATACCAGCCTTATGTCCCCATATTATAAACTCCAAGCAAGCACTCAGACAGTTAGTGGCTGATTGAATTCTGTATTGTGCAGGGCCTTAAAATCTGAAAGGCACTCCTTACTGTCCCCAGACCTTGGATGGATTCTAGGTTCCTTTCAAGGAGGTAGAGGTAGACCTCCAGCAAAGTTGTGCTTTATAATCTGCTGCTGGCCAGGTGCAGTGGCTCATGCCTGTAATCCTAGCACTCTGGGAGGCCGAGGCAGGCAGATCACTTGAGACCAGAGTTCGAGACCAGCCTGGGCAACCTGGTTATTATATATTTTGGTGAAACCCCGTTTCTACAAAATATACAAAACTTAGCTGGGCCTGTAGTCCCAGATATTCGGGCTTGAACCGAGGAGGTTGAGGCTCAGTGAGGCATGATCATGCCATTGCAATCCAGCCTGGGCCACAGAGCAAGATCCTGTCTCAAGAAAACAACAAATAAAATAAATATAACCTACGCTAATCAACCTCAGGAGTTGTGGAACAGGGCGGAGACGGGTGAGGTGAGTGAGATACAAAATATAAGGGGGCATTTTTCTGTCTGAGGCACGTTCTTCATTTGCCTTACCCTTGTTTTAGCCCTGCTGGGAAAGAGAACTTTCATCTCTTACCAGAGAAAAATGCAAATCCTCTATATTCCTTTACTGTATGGCTGAATGTTCATCAATAGAATGAGCTTCCTTAGTGTTAAAGAAATGGCCAGTGGGCTTCTTTCTTTCTCACCTGGCTTCATGTAGCCTCAGTCCTCCTTCCTGGATCTTACTCTAGAGTATCTGGGTGTGATGTGGAGTATAGCAGTACAGTGTGAGTATCATAAACTCTAGATACCCTCCCCGCCGAGTTCCTCCTGCTCATTACAGCCTTGTGCCAGCTTTTAAAACATCCTTCCAAGTATCTTCGCCCACTTTCTAACAAATGATGAATGACGGGCCCACACCTACCTTGCTGATTCTTCCTTTATTAAGCCTATATTCATTAAACACCTACTCATGTACTCATTCGTTGCCATCTTATTTAGTTCCTCTTTTGTGCCAAGCACTTTTCATGGAACCGCGGATACAGAATGAAATAAGCTGTCATTAAAATTACCTTCATTGTGGTGATAGACAAAATCAGGAAATAAACAAATATTAAGTACTAGGAAGAAATGTGAAACAGAGTAAGGAAATAAAGTAATGGGGTGAGAGGGTTTCTTTCATATCAGTCACTTCATCTCTTTTTTCAGTGTCAATATATTCTTGATATTTAAACAGAATTCCTGACACCATTGTGAAGTCTCAAATTATGACTGGAATACAGATGATGGTTTTGGTATTGACTGGATTTGCTCAATAGCTTAGTAACCTTCTCCAACATGTGGGAATCAGATAACCCTGATTCATAGTTCTATTATAAGCTTGCTATGCATCATGTCATTAATCCCCTCAACAACAATTCAAATTGCAAAATAATATTATTTTGGACATTGGAGGTAATCCACCAACAGTGAAAACTGCCAGGGTTGACTTTCTGTCATGTATTGTAATATTGTCTTCTAGTATCAATGTTTTCATGTATTGTCAGTTATTGCAATATTGTGAATATCGTCATACATTGTCAATATCCCAAACGACTTGATGCCAGTCATCCCACCAATGCCCCTAAGCTTTACGCTTCAATGCTTGGTATTTCAGCGGCTTGTTTCCTCTTATGAGGAAGTGGACAAGAGATAACCATCACTTTAAAATGTTTAATTGTACCAATATTACATATTTTGTTATTAATAATCTTACACCTATTTAAGAACCATTTATTAAGCACCTTCTCTGGACCAGAAAATATCAGTGTGAGGGATATAGGAGTTCAGAACACAGACTCAGGCTCTTTCTTTCTTTCTTTTTTTTTGTTTTTTGAGATAGAGCTTTGCTCTGTTGCCAGGCTGGAGTGCAGTGGCGCTATCTTGGCTCACTGTAACCTCCGCCTTCCGGGTTCAAGCAATTCTCCTGCCTCAGCCTCTGAGTAGCTGGAATTTCACGTGCGCTCCACCACGCCCTACTAATTTTTGTGTTTTTAGTAGAGACGTGGTTTCTTCATGTTGGCCAGGCTGGTCTCCATCTCTTGACCTCAGGTGATCTGCCCACCTCGGCCTCCCAAAGTGCTGGGATTACAGGCGTGAGTCACCGTGCCCGGCCTCGGGCTCTTTTTTTAAGAAGCCTGTAAGGAATGAGAGAATATAGATCTGAACAATTACGAACATTATGAAGACAATGAAGAAATATAGCATATGGCATTTTCTGCATGACTGCAGGAACGGTCTAGTTGTTTGGATAAGGGCAAACGTCTCTAGGGCAAGGGATGTTTAACTTCACTCAGGAATCGATTGAAAAGAACTCAGTGTTTGAGGACAGGAAATGAGAAGGAGCAGCGAGGACTGAATCCATGACTTGGGAAGTGGGATGTTTCAGGAAATGAAAGTAAGAGCAGTGTGCTTGGAGTGTTGAAATGGGAGTAGAAAATTGACGTAGATGTTGCTGGGCAGGTAAGCCGGAGCCACACGAGACAAGGTCAGGCAAACTCTAGGACAGACAGAGATTTTTTCTAAGGAACAAAGGGAAGTGATCTTGGGGGTAAAAAGGGAATGAGATTTGTGTTTTAAATATATCCTTCTGACTATAAAGATTAGATTAGAGATGTTTCAAGATAATCGGTTAGGAGGCTGGTATAAGAGTCAACGCAAGGCCTCATACAGATGGAGTGGAACCATTGGTATTTGGCACTGGGCCACGTGGACAGAGTCCAGAGATATCAAGATGGTATAATTAGCAAGATTTGGTAATTGATCGGACGAGGGTCAGGAAAGAATGTGTAAGGATGAAGCCCAGATTCCTGAGCAATGAACATAGAGGACGACCTTTACCAAGAATGCTGCTGATGTACCTAGTTGACCGGGAATTTTCTCCATGCAAGGTTGGATTATTAGTGTCTTCTACACAAACCTGGACATTGGTGCTGGTTTCTTAATTTTGGTAATCTTTTCAGGAGTATTCAGAAAGTATTTTCGAATCTGAGCAATTACTTAGAGATTTCTCATGCGGGGAATCCATTGGTTCAGAAATTCCAGCCTACAATTTGAGTGACCTCACAGGAACAGTACCATTCTTAGATTCAACCAGAAGTTCTAGAAAATCTAATACAAGATACATACAGTTCAGGAGTATCCAATTTTTTGGTTTCCCTGAGCCACATTGGAAGAAGGATTGTCTTGAGCCACACATAAAATACACTAACACTAATGAGAGCTGATAAACTTTTAAAAATCACAAAAAAATTCTCATAATGTTTTTAAAAAGTTTACGAATTTGCGTTGGGCTGCATTCAAAGCCAACCTGGGCCACCTGTGGCCCAAAGCCACGGATTAGACAAGCTTTATATCATGTTTTAAGTATGATGTAGTGTTTGTGAGATTGTATCCCATAGTCTTTAGTTCTTTGCTTCCTGAATTTTCAGTAAATATCAGACTGCAGTATCATCGAAAGTCTGGAAACCCTTCTAATTTACCTTCCCTCTTATGCCTTTATGGATCTATCCTTGTTTAAAGGTGACTCCCTCTGGCATAAACACCAAATATATTCCTCTACCCCCAGGAGCCATTTCCCACTTCCTGGTTCTGTGTATTTGACTCTTTTTTTTTTTTTTGAGATGGAGTCTTGCTCTGTCGCCCAGGCTGGAGTGCAATGGCATGATGTCGGCTCACTGCAAACTCCGCCTCCCGGGTTCAAGTGATTCTCCTGCCTCAGACTCCTGAGTAGCTGGGATTACAGGTGCGCCACCACATCCAGCTAATTTTTGTATTTTTAGTAGAGGCGGGGTTTCACCATGTTGGCCAGGCTGGTCTCAAACGCCTGACCTCAGGTGATCCGCCTGCCTTGGCCTCCCAGAGTGCTGGGATTACAGGTGTGAGCCACTGCACCTAGCCTATTTGACTTTCGATGCTTAAATTTTAAGTATTTTTTCCATTACTTAATGAATCATATTTTGCTTTCACAAAAAGAAAGGTGTTGTTGATGATGTTTCTCTTATTCTAATACTGAGGATCTTAAAAAAAATGCTAAGCCCACAGAAACACCACTAGCTTTTCTTTGCTCTTACCTTCTTGCTCATGTACCTGAATTCCATGTATAAATTGCCCCTTTTTTGTTTCACTTTTATGTCTTGTTATATAGTGTGATTATATTCCTCAAATGTATTATCTGACTTATGCATATAAAGCAATGATACGGTGATATAATGACCATATCTATGATATAATGATATACATTATAAGCAGAAGTCATAAATATTAGCATGTCATTGCTTAAATTATGCAATAGTTAGTGCTAATGATAAAAAAATTGCATTAGCCAGTATTTGGTTCAAAAGGTATATACTTGTTCTCATCAACAAAGCATATTGGTACTCAACTGCAGGCCACCCTCATGCATAAAGAGCACCTGCTCACCCTCCACACTGAAAACGTTGGCATAGCCTGACCATTTCCCCTTCAGTGCATTCTCTTTTTAGGGTCCATTAATTATCTTCTAAGAATAGGATCACTTTTATAAGGTCTAAAGTCAAAAGGCCTGTCTTCTACATATTTGATCCACTCTTTCCTCAATCCCGCTCTGTACTCGTGTGTTCTATTCTCCATTCGGAAGTCTCTCATCATGAGTTCATATTTTTAAAAATGTTCCTGTAGTATAGATTAGATGAGTCCCTCAAATCCTCACCTAACACTTTCTTGCAGTATTAATCTGACTAATTTCTGACACTAGAGAATTAAGAAATTGTTTCAGAAATGTTACATCTTGGCTTTCTTTTGCAAGTTCATAATCAATCCAGACAAAGCATTTCTCCCAGACTGTGATGCCAAGGAGTAGAGCTAGACACATTGAATTTCTGTAGAAATGTTATGATAAATGCTCCTCCTGCCTCCCTGTCCTCATTTTAAAAATAGTTATGTAATAGACTCTAAGGCCACTCTCAACACTAATATATATTTTCATGATTTAATTTAATTTACATATATTAAAAGAAAATGGAAATGCATTTATTGTGCCATCTCCACAGATACGTTAAAACTTTCTTAACGTGATTTCTCATCTCCAAAATTTTAGTTTGTTTTTTTCATCCTTAAAAAACACATGTGACCAAATGCTATATAAATACTTTTCACTGCTCATGTCAAAAGTTTCTTGGCAGTCATTTTCTTATAACAGTTTAGAATACTGTGTTTGGAGGACCTATTCAGAAGGATTTACGGTTTAATGTACTATAATAATAATATAGTATACATCATACAATATCTATAAAAGAAGTAGTATCTGAGGCCAATTAATGCTGGCGTTGCACTATAAAATGTGGTTTTATCATAATCACAGTCATAATCACAGCCTATTAAAGTACACATCATCCAAATCTCATTTCCAAATTGTTTCATGTCACAAGAAATAAATTTATTATGCAGAAGTGTTATTTTATGTGCTCATGTTCATTAGATTCCATTTCATTGGTAGATAGAGTCATGGGTTATTGGTTTGATGGTTTATTTTTAAATAAAATGTACTTTTTCAAAAAAGAGAATATTTTTAAATTTTTCATATTTTTTCTAGACATCCACTGACAATTTTAAAAAGTTCTATCAATGATCTATATTAATAATACATGGCCTAAATATTTCAATGGAAGAAAACAGATCAAAATACTAGTCTCTTTTTAGCTATGGAAAATTTAAAGATGTGTTTAAATAAACAAAGTAACTAAACCCTCAATCCAGTGCCAACAAGGCATTCTGACAACAATGTCCCCCACAGCCAAGAGTCACATCGTGAGAAAATAGCCAGCGAATATAACCTGATCCCCCGACCCTTGTCACTGCTTTGTGATCAGATCTTACTATGCAGTGAAAGAAACAATGCTATTATTACTTCTCATGAAGTGTCTTGTTTTTATTTCTCTTGTAATTTATCTTCAATTGAACTGATATTGATTTCGTGGGGGAAAATTGCATAATCTCCAAGGAGATTTCTAAAGGCTAATCTTAGTTTGTGCTTTATTTTTTTCCATAGGTTTATTCTTGCCAGTGATTTATCTACCTAATAACATTATAGATAAAACCTGATCTTTCCATTTATTTCTTCAAGAGCTGTTCATGTTTGAGCACGCTTTGTCCTTAATTGCCTGGGGATTTTTCGATAGCCCTGTCTTTAGTGGTCTGAAACAAGTTGCAATATAAGTAATTAAGGCACTGCGCAACAGAATCTACAAATTGCTGTTTAGCTTCCATGTGTGATATTTAACTAATTGTTCATTGCTGTGCAAACCTTTAACTTCATAGATGTCATGAATTTAAAGTGAATAAACATTGCTTTTCTATTTATTAAAATAGTGTAGTGTAATAGTGAATACTAAAGCTTCCAGGTACTTTAAAATACCATCTTCCACTGTCTGCTGTGCAGTTTAATTTCAGACTGTTGAGGTTATCAATCATTCCTTAGAAAACTGTAAAATACGCTTGACTTCTACAGAGAGGCTATAGGATGCAGTGAAAATTGAGTTGCCAGGGAGTAAGAGAATTGGACTCTAGATCATCTCTGCCTAGCGGTGCTCCCTTTTCTTCTGTGGTTTTGCTACCTCACCAGAAAAATTAGGTATTGCATTAAATGACTGTAAATGGACTTTCCAACAGAGTGTCTTTCTGGGGGGCTAAAGAGATTTTATGTGGAGTGCAATCAATGTCTGGAAACAAAAATGAGAGCTAAAATATGTACTATGCTACCTAGGAGAAATTTCATGCAAAGTTTTAGATTAGATGTTTCTTTCCCCCTTAAATATAGACACATCAGTAATCTCTTCCTGAGCTTGAATATTATATTCTTGGCTAATCTGGCAACTGCTGGTGAAGGGAATAATTTTGTTTGCTGTAGAAGAAAGAAAGGCTCCACTGAAAACATATTCAGGAAGTGGGATGCATGACTGCGTTTTTCCTAAGTTCACATGAGGCATTGTGAACTTTGTTTGTGCCTGCTATTTATTTTGTATGGTCGTTATTTCCCTTGATATTTTGTTTGCAGCTTTTTCCCCTCTACGGTTTGATGCCTGCGATAATAACAATGCCCCTGCAAAACAAATCCACAATGAGTAAATAGCAATGGTTCTTCTAACCCTCTCTCAAAGAAGAATTTGATCCCTTGCCAGGCATTTTCTGTTTCCCTAGGCCTTTAAAATGACCTTAATTTGCAGACATAATCTGGCATCGTTGTCGCCTGTAACAGAGATGTCAATATTAGAAGTTTGAATCCTGGAATGATCACAAGTGGGATTATTTAATTCCTAAGAAGGCTGGCAGTTGAGGGCAAGAAAGATGCATTTGGAACAATCTCCAAGAGTTTTTTGTTTTTGTCTTTGGTTTCCAACTAGAAAAGGAAAACAGAGATTCAAATCCTAAGCAGACTTTTCAAAAGACAGGCTTCTTCCAAGCAGTAAGAAAATACTATTTCTATTCAAAGACACTTGAAGCTTGTGTTCCTTCATACCTGCCTGGGGTGCTGAGTTTGCAGAGCCTTTCTGCAGACACCTGAGGTTTTTATCAATGAGAATCATGAAGCTTTGGAGAAATAATATACAATAAAAGAGCAATAACTGCTCTTATTAGGCTCTTTCAAGCCATCTGGTGTGATTTTTTTTTTTTTTTTTTTGCACTTTCACGGACAAAAAATTTTGTTGATAAAATTGCCACTGAATTGTAAGTCATGCATCCTTATTGGAAGGCTGATTCTTTGCACCACTAGGTGGCAGTGTAGTCACGTACTTATGGTTATTCATCTGCCAGCTCCTAAATAACAGGGCTTCCGGCTTCAGTGTTAGGTTTCCAAGCCTCTCGTGCATCCTAATATCCATGTCTCCTTTATTCAAAGGACAAGCATATCTGTACTTAAGTGATTTACTCTGTACATCAAGCTCTGTGAAATTTGCACTTATGTTTTGCTTTTATTTTCAAAGAAAACACTTGAATACATTTTCAACAAAATATTACAAGTATCATGCTGATCTTCAACTAATTATTTTTTTATTTAAAATGCTCGGTATGAAAATGTTTTTATGAGCACATGAAAAATAGAAAGCTTGAGAGATGTAGTTTAAAAAATATTATTCTAAACTCACAAAAGTAAAGCTTTGATCTGTCTCTTGAATTATTTAAAAAAGAATAAATGAGCATATATAATTCAAATCTTGGAGTACTATCAAGGGCATCACTATGGGAATTATCTAATGTATTTATTTAAAATATTTTCTACAGTAGACTTTCCAGAAATAATGATGCTTAGAAGAGGGCACTTTTAGTGTTATAATTTTAGTTTGGAATAATTTATGCAAATAATATAGAGTGTTCTCTAGAAATATCCTAGTTTCTTAAGGAATGATGTAGTCTCTTGGATTCTTATATAGAGAAGCTTGTGGTATCTTGTTTCGTATATTTTTGGCAAACTGCCACATTCCGGGATGTCTTTATCACCTTGTTTGACCCACAAAGTGCAGTATCTGCAATGTGGACAAAAAAAAAAAAAAAAAAAAAAAAATCAATAAAATTATTTCCTGCTTCTCATCACTTTCTTTGTTCTAAAAGAAAAGAAAATCCAAGCCCTAGTAGATAAACATTATCTGACCAAACTCTTTTGCATATGTCTTATCTAAACTTTCTTCTGTATTTGGCTGCCTATACAGTCTTACTCTAATATTTTCTAGAGAAACTGGTGTTACGAAAATGCCGGGGGTTTGGTCTAGGTCTCCTTGCTTGCCACAAAGAAAGCCAATCACTAAGACAAGGAAGATTGCCAGGGAAGACTTTATTCAGGTGCTGCAGCCAAAGAGACAGGAGATAAGTTTCAAATCTGTCTCCTCAACCAACTAAAGTTGGGGGGTTTATATATCAGGGAAGGAATGTAGCTACCTGCAGGGAAAAAATCAATTAGGGAGGAGTAAGGAAGTAATCAAGGTGGATGAGGGGCCCGGCATCTCATTTTCTGGATGTAGTCATCTGGTGAGTTTCAGTCCCTTGCCTGAAAGTTGGTTTTAAGACAGGGAGGGTCAATTTCTATGTTATTAAAAAACGCGTAATGTTGGATGAAAAGAGGCATCGCAAATTCCCCTAGGGAGGTTTTTTTCTATTTGGTCATCCAGGGCACAGGGCTTCATCCATGCTCACAGTGCCCCCTAGTGACAGAACAGAAAGAACTCAAGTGTACTCTGAAATCTAATGCTCTGTGGCTAATACACATTATGACCTATGCTAATCCTTTTCATTTCATTACTTTGGGGATGGATCCTATCAAAACATATTTGATATTTCTATAAACTCTACATCTCTATGAATCAATAAGCTTCTTCCTTAAACTCATGCATCAATCATTATCAGACATGTTAGGGAGGCAGAGACAACGTGGAAGTGGCAAGAGTCTCTGACACACAGCCCACGTTTCACTATTTACAACCACACTGGCCCCAGCTAACATCCGTCAGGAGACTGAACACCAGCACTATGACTCTTATGCTTTTTGTGATGTTCTTACCAGGTGTGTAAGGCATGTGATAAGATAATGTATAAACCAGAATGTATAATTTCATCTGTAGAGAATAGTTTAGGTAGCGGGGAATTCTGGCATGCGACATAGAGGCACACATAGATTTTCCTTCATCTCTCTCTATTTCATTACTCTAGTCATTTGAACATAATGCCCAAATCATTGACTTTTCAATATTTAAGTCCCCCAAATTGAATGACATGACCACCCTCTCACTTGTCACATTTTGGCTTTTTCTAAGGACTTTCATTATTTATCTACATTGATTGGATGACCTTTGCCATCTATTTGCTAGCCTTTAAAAGATTTAAGTCTTCCATAAGCATAATCTGGCCGCATTCTTCCCCAAATTAATTAGTATTATTGCTCTCCTGTCATATATTCATGAATTGTGCTTTCTTTTCTTTTGCACCTGCTCTGACTCATTTCAAGGCTGTGTTATCCTAATGAAATACAAAGATTGACCTTTACTGTGCAATCTAATGAAAAATGTACTAATTTTAGGGAACTAAAATTTAACAAATTTCTATCAAGGTAGAATGCGTGCTTTTGTAATGTTGAAAATATTGTAAATATCAATTACTATATATAAAAGAACACATAGCAACATTTGCGAAGACAATAATGCAATGTAAAGTTGAATGAAATGGAAGTAATTTTCTATATATTTTCCTGGTTCTGAAATAAGAAACATTATAGTACAGCTTTGAATGGCCTTGATTTTCTCTGTTGGCTGCAGGGTTTTGCAGCACTAAAGTTATATTTTGAAGTACCTCAAATTTTCCAGACTCTGCAAGAAAGAAAAATAAAGGTATATTCGTTGTGCCACAAAATAAGTACAGTTAGAATATTGAAAGAATGCTTAATACAATCCTTTTATGTAGGCAATTGGGAATTGATGGTGCAATAAGTCTAAAGAGATTTGTAAGGATATTCAGAGGAAGTATTGATATCTGAATTATCAAATAGTTTTCCAAAAGTTACAAAATGAATGACTTCCTGCCATGCTCAGGTATAGAGGCTCATTCACAGTAATTGTGGGGCTTGGCTTTGAAGTTCATTGTACCAACAGTTATCTCAGGACGATGTCTCCAACCTCAAGATGGTACCAGATTCCAGTAAAGTGAAAACAGCACATCACTTTCAATAAGGTTGTTATTTTATTTTTAATGTAATGATTACAGCCAATTTTAACTTATAAATAATGACGTATATTCTTTTTTAGAATCACAAAATCAAAATAATTATTTGGTCCTTTTGCACATGATACTGTTAACACATTGCCACCAGTCCACCAGCTTAGAAGTTACAGGCAACATTAACTGTAGCCCCAGTGAGTAAGGCATTATATCAAAAGCATGATAACCTGCTACTTAAAGTGTGATGTGCACATTTTGCTGAGTTCTAACTTATCATATCATATACTGCCAAATACTAGGTAAAATTCCTGCTCCTAGACATAAAATTTTGTCTTAAGGAGAGTTTAGCCCATCAAGCTCCCTGAAAGTATTTGTTTTCCTGCTAAACGCTTTGCCTCTTTTTTTTTTTTTTTTTTTTTTTGAGAGGGAGTCTCACTCTTTTGCCAGGCTGGAGTGCAGTGGCGCAATCTTGGCTCACTGCAACCTCCGCCTCCTGGGTTCAAGCAATGCTCTGCCTCAGCCTCCCGAGTAGCTGGGATTACAGGTGTGGGCCGCCATGCCCAGGTAATTTTTGTATTTAGTAGAAACGAAGTTTCACCATGTTGGCCAAGCTGGTATTGAACTGCTGACCTCATGACCCACCCGCCTTGGCCTCCCAAAGTTCTGGGATTACAGGTGTGAGCCACCGCACTTTGCCTCTTTAAGAATGGTCTGTTGAGGAATTAATACTGCCGAAGCAGGATTGGAATTTTAAGATATTTATTTATTAACTTAATTTGTGGCTAGGAATTTGGGACATGGGATGGAGACATTTTGATAGGACGTGAAGGGGAGTTAAGTCACAAAGGAATGAAACGGTGAATGTGGGGGTTTATTTAAGCGAGAGAACACTCCACAGGGTGGGAGCAGGCCACAGCGAGCGGCTCAGGGGCCTGGTTACAAAGTTTTCTGGAGTGTCTGTACCCGATCGAGGCCCCTACTGGCTACCCCTTGTGTGGATAAAGGACTTGGCCCATGGCCAATTAGAGGCCGGATTGGATTGCTGTCCTCTGCGGATGAAGGGATGGTCCGCGCTTGGCCTGCATCAATGCAAAGCAAGCTCCGGTTTCATCTGAGATGTTGTGGGGTGGGGTGCGGGGTTGTAGGGAGAGTAGCCTCTGATCCTTTGTTACTCCAGCGTGGAGAGATGGGGTTTTCACTTTTGATCCAGCCGTAGGAAGGCAGCACAGATTGGCCTTAGGTTCCTACCTCCAGACCTGGGAGTTTTCCCTTTGACTTAGCTTCAGGAAATCAGCACTTACTGGCCTGGGGTTCCCTGCCCCCAGTCCCTGGTGTCTTTCTTTTGATCCAGCTTTAGGAAATTAGCTCGAATTGGCTTTAGCTTCTCTTCAGACCTTATTCTCCTGCCTCACTAGGACCGAGTGACCCAGATGGAGCAGAACCAAATGGGAGCTCGAGGGAGGAGGCTTTAGGCAGGGCACTCAGAGGCGGGCATTATTGACGATGGTGGAGGGACTGGAACTCACTTAGGACAGTCTTCAACTACTTTACACAGTACCATTGACCAGAATAAGAATGAAATCACTATGTGACAGTTTCCAGGTCTAGGAACCCCCCGAAATAGATCCCATAGGTGGAAAACCCAAAAGGTATTCATTGCTGCCTCAGCTCCTCCATCGCCTCCAGAGACTTCTGTTTTTAGTATGACCTTGTCGGTCTCCTCTCAATGTCTCTATTCTTGGTCTGGAATTACCCAATTTACCTTAATTTAGTCTTACTTATGGTTGTTTTCGAAGAAGGAAGACAAGAAGATCATGTCATTGGTATGTTCAGAGATGCAATTGTGTTAGCACTGTTTTACAGAAAATGCAGCTGAAAGTCAGCAAGTTTACTAAGTGACTCACCAACACCACCTGGCTAGAACCGAGATTCCTTGTGTTCCTCCGCTCAACTGTTTCCAGAGCATGAGGTGGCCTCTTAATAGAGGACTATGTCTTTTTTATAATTCATCAAGCTGGATTAACTGTGCCAAGAACTCACTGAAGCTCAGAATGTTACAGCATTTTATTCACTACACTGCTTGAGTGTGACCCTAGTGAATTCAAGGTTAATTGCTAGAATGACAGAGCATATATTGTAGGCACTGGTGAAAGACACCCGTGAATGTTTGCTACCTTCTTTATGTGATATTAATTTACTCATCAAATACTATCTACAATTCAGCAAGCAATGATGATACTGAGAAGTGCCTTGTTGTATGTGTGTAGAGAGGAGGAAAGGAGGGATTAGTAATTCATCATCTCCATTAGCCCTATCCAAGATTTCTAAAAAACATAAAGTCGAGGTAAAAGTAAATAAAAGCCAAGAAGCAGGGCCACTATGATAGCGTCTAATTGTGGATCTTCAACCTGGAAACAAAATGTAACTGAACTTTTGTGCAGTTATATTTTCAGTTTTCTAAACTTCTGCTGGAATTTTCATGTTATTTGATTGCATAATAAGTATTGTTTAGGGTCAAGTTTAGTTGGTGACTTTGTGCCATCTTCTTGTTAGCTTTTCTAATTACATTTGGTCCAAATAATTCAGATCATTCTACTACCTATTCTTCTCACAACTTCTTTGCTAAGTGGGTGAATACAATAGTGTACCAACAATGAGAAGGTACTGTTTATTATTTATAGAAATAAATCAACACCTAAAATACAAATTTTAAAATTTCTAGAGAAATCACACTTTTTGAAAGGCTTGGAAAGCATGAAAAAAACATGTTTCTTCTTAAAATAAATTTTGAATTTTAATGGGTCATTAGCAGATTAATGGATCATTCTTGTTCTGATGTAAACCTTCAATTTAAGATTCTAAAATTTTTAGGGCTGGGGCAGTGGTTCAAGCTTGTAATACCAGCATTTTGGGAGGCTGGCTAGATGCCAGGAGTACAAGCCCAGTCTGGATAACATAGCAAGACTCTGGCTCTACAAAAAAGAAAAACACCAAAAAATTAGCTGAGCATGGTGGCACATGCCTGTAATCCTAGTTACTTGGAGGCTGAGGTGGGAGGATCACTTGAGCCCAGGAGTTTGAGGTTATAGTAAGCTATGATGGTGCAACTGCACTCCAGATTGGGCAACAGAGCAAGACTCTGTCTCCATAAATAAATAAATAAATTTTTAATATGCTGGCCTGATTTGGCTTGTGTTTCTGGATAGTATAGAGACTCTTCCTTGCTCAGAATCTCTGGGTGGCTTTCTGGAGTCCGTGAAGTAGAAGTCAAGAAATGAGAAGAAGTCCAAAGCTGCTTTAAGTGGTCAAAGGGCACAGAAGTTATCCTAGAACTCAATTCTTCTCACCTCACTTCCAATGACTCTGAAATGTGTGTTTGGGAGTTTGGTAGCCATGTTTCTGCAATCTCAATCTCACCTTCTGTCACCAGGCTGGAGTGCAGTGGCATGATCTCGGCTCACTGCCACCTCCGCCTCCTGGGTTCAAGCCGTTCTCCTGCCTCAGGCTCCCAAGTAGCTGGAATTACAGGCATGTGCCACCACACCCAGCTAATTTTTGTATTTTTAGTAGAGACAGTGTTTTACCATGTTGGCTAGGATGGTCTTCATCTCCTGACCTCATGATCAGCCCGCCTCAGCCTCCCAAAGTGCTGGGATTACAGGCGTGAACCACCACGCCCAGGCTGCAGTCTCACCTTCTAATATAGCATATTAACTTGGATCAAAGTAGGTGTGGCAATTTGTTCATGTGGCCATCATGGTTTCCACTCTATAGCTAAAGAGATGTTGAGTCAGTTCCCCCAAATATCTTAGGTATTTCTGGTCATGTCCTAAGACTGTATTGAATTTTGTGTATTAGTAATGTTTATATGGCTTGGAAGATTTAATATGCATCATTATCCCATTCAGTGCAATGAATATTTTCTCTGGTGTAGGTATATGGCCTATGTAGCAAATATGCAAAATAGATAAAATATATAGTGCATTAAACTATGCTGTATTGCTCTATTCAGTATTCCTTAGTGAATAGAAAGAGTCCAGCCACTTCCCAAAGCATCTGGTCAATTAATAGAATTTTCAGTTTGGAGAAAACTAGTTCTATGAAATTTATATCTAATGCACTTGCCTTGTCAATAACTTAAATATTATATTTTTCCACAAGAAATAGTATTTCTTCACCCCTGCCCATGGCCTCCCTGATGTACATATAGTTAGCCTAGGATGTGGATTTCAAGGGTGACAAAATGTCATTTACATAATAAATGTTACTCTCATACTCAGTTTCAAGGAGTTCTTATCAATAATTTAGAAAGAATTAATAATATATTTATAACACATGCTGGAAGTAGGATAAAATTATTTATAAATGCTTAATAAATGTTTGATAGTGCTTTTGCCATCCATGTTATAAATGATAGATAGGTGACTATAGATACCTTGTTAAACATTTATGTCCTTTGGTTATGGTTATTCTATAATGGCTTGACAAAAGTTATTAAAAGAGTGAATTAACATCATACATACATTCTATAAATGAAATGTGGTAAAATATTTAAGATTTAAAGTAGTTTGTAGGAATTGTTGGGTTATTATAGCTAATGCTATTTACTCATTGGTAGCAATTTACTGTGCATAATAACACTAAGAGGCAGTTTCTCCTCATTCTGAATTTCAAATCAGTAGTTGCCAAATTTTGATTGGTTATGTCCTGTGATATTACTATTTTAATATTTTAAGGAAATTACTTTTAAATCATTCACACTTAAATAGTAACCCCCAACTGTGCTTTTTTTTTTTTTTTTTTTTTTTTTTTTTGAGATGGGATCTCTGTTGCTCAGGCTGGAGTACCGTGGTACATAGCTGGGACCTCAGGCATGCCAACTGCACTTTTATATAAGGGGAAGTGATGGTTGTTGCAGAGGACTACAGATCCCTATACAGGTTTTTAATTCAGCATCCTCACCCAATCCATTGAACTTTTTTTGAAGAAAAGTGTGGAGTGGTGAGAGAGAGAAGGGTACTCTTACATATTAGGTGGATCATCTCTGGGCAACCGTTCAGATCCCAGATATGTCATCCAGTTCTGTCTCACATTCCAGAAAAAAGAGGAGGTATATTATTGCCCTCGTTTATAGAATGGGTGTACCCACTCCCCCCCAAAAAAATCCACATTATTTATACAGTATGTGTGTATAACACTTTCTAAAACTCATCCAGTGTTTGTGTTTAAACCATCCAATATCCTTATCTCAATTCATATCTGATTAAGCTACACTCTTGCTTAACTTTTCTCAGTTAAACAGTGAATCAACGGTTGCCCTCAGAATGATGCTTGGGCTAATTTGCTTTTTAATATAGCTAGGGTGCCATGATTCTAGATAAGAAGTTTCAATCTAGGCACCAAACATATATCACATATTAGATATCAAGATGTATGAGATAGATCATAATGCAGATTTACCTGGAGAGGGATGTAGCTGTCATGTGAGTTCTATGGCCTCAACAAAGGAGGAGGAGTGGGGTTGCCACCCCCTCAGTTCAAGTCCACTGAGAGGGACTGTAGAGGGAACCACTCTGAGGACTTGACATGTCCACTCATCTGGTCTAAAGATGAGAAGCTATGGCTATTGGCCTAATGCAGAGGGCAGAGGGAGGGGGAGTTGCTGCCTCTATCATCCTGTCAAAGGTATGTGAGTTCTGGAGACAATTGTGAAGCATCAGTAGAAATGTTGACCTTGCTCAAGGGCTATCCTGCCAAGGGCAAGTGGCTCCAATAAAAAGAGGGTGTAGAGGAAGCAGGAACAGCCAAATAGGAGCAGTGAGGGAAGAAGTCTTATTTTTTTTTTTTAACAGCTTTAAGTAGCTGCAGGTGCTGACTTACCATCCATCCTGTAGAATCAGGATCCAGGCGCCTGGAAATACTGATTAAGTCCTGCATGGGGAGGCACCATGGGGAATTATTAATGAAGACTTTCCTGCCCACAGTGCTGTGCTGATTTAACGCAATTCAAATGACACACACAAGCCCAGCCTCAACACACCTGTGTCTATTAGATTAATAAAAACAATTCAAAAGGATGAGTAGCTATATGAAAATATAACTAAGTATAGAGAGTGGCAATGATATGAAACACACGATGATACTAGAGTGAATTTGAACGACTGGAACCAGTAAAGACAGAGTAAGCGTCTCCATGGAGCAGGAGAAGCAGGTGAAAGATGGTGATGGAGGAGGCGAAGGAAGATTTAGCATGAAAAAGTAGGATATTCAGGAAAAAAAACATACTATTTTCAGTACACAGTACTGTCCTGCAAAGTAGGTTTGTTTTACTGAAGCAAAAACTGAGATAACAAATAAGTATTACAATTTAAGAAATTCAAGAGAACACTACAAACTGTAAAAGATCCTGTCCTCTGAATTCACATCTCATGTATTATCTATTTGTTTCCTACATCCCAAGAACTGCCTTTTGTCATTACTGTTACTTAACTTTTTGTCACCTTAATTAAATCAAAAGCTTTTGAAAAGTACAAACTGCCTGCTACGTTTTGCCTGATCTTAAAGCACCAAGCACTGGGCTGGGTACCCAGCAGGCATTCAGTAATTATTTGTGAATTTCAGGATTAGTCACAACATCATGCAAAGACGGTCACTTTTGCTTCTTTACTTAGCTATATTGGAGGCAGTTGCAGTAATGTATTCAGGCAGGTCAGGCCAAGACTCTGGCCAACCATGAAAATGGAAATTAAGGGAAGACTTGAAAAATATGGAGAAAAGCATCAGTAGAATTTAGTAACAGACTGAATAGAATATGACAGAAACTCAGGTGCCATTTTGGAAAATGCCAAAAGCATCACTGAGGCCAAAAATCACCTAAGCAGGTGCCTTTATGCAATCAGGCATTGCCATGAAAGATCTAGTTATCACAGGAGGCTTTTTCTCTGTCTCCTTCCTGGCTTGCAAATACTGTCAAGCTACATTAGCACCAAAAGCAGTTAGATTGCAATGACCTTTACTAATCCACCACATTTATGTTTGGACTTTTCTCGCAATAAATGTAACATTACAATTATTAATGTCAGCGTTTTCTTTGGAAACAGTGGTGAACTCATTAAGAACACTGCCAGGTGTTGCCAACCCCAGGTGTGAACCTAGTGGTTAGTGAGATGTAAATAACTCTTTATGGAAAATTTGCAGTCTAACGAATTAGCAGTCTCACACAAAGCCAAACTAGTTTCCTGTGATTAGCTTCATTACACCACTAGCTGTTTTCCTGTAGGTCAAAGAAAAAAGTAGCAGATGCCCCTCCTTTTAGAATATAAATCAGATTAGCATCTACCTCATTGCTCGCTGTTTCCAAAGATAGCTGTCAGCCTTGCCATAAAGATGGTAAAAGATCCACACTGAAGTGCATGCATGTCAGGGATCCTGGAACTATTTTGCTTCTTTTCTTGGAGATGCATGCCCGTTAGTGGTGATGTGTCTTGCTCCACTATGAGGATGTTTGTCATACCCACTGCAGAGTCCATATTACTTGCTATTTAAGGTAGTGGCATCTGCTGGGGGGTGGGGAGAGATGAACAATAGTCAGATCCTTGTTCAACAGCTGCTCAGTGGCCAGCAGCTGTTTTGAGGTTCCTTTCCTGGTTCAGATGCTGTTTTCCATTTCTCTTCTTATAATCTCTGAAACAAATGTCAACATGATTACCATATGAAAAAAGTAAGCATTTTGGGATCTTAAAGTCCAGATGAGCAAATCTGGGAGGCTACTTGTGACTGCTTCTTGTTATGACTTGATACAGTCTTTAAACGCATGCAGACAGTCGAAGGGTTTATGTATTTCCATGAATGTCATAATCACACTAACGACAAAGAAAATGTCTTCGTGTGCGATGACAGCTGTACTAAATGTGTGGCACTCAAGAAACATATTTGATTAATGTAGTTTACACTTGGTAACTTTTAAAACAGCCATTTTTACCTTTTTTCTTTAGCCTAGATTTTCTGCTAGTTTTTTTTTTTTTGGCACTAAACTGCATATTTTTACTCACTCGATGCCCCTTTAACTAATATAGGTATTAACTGTGATGATTTCAATGAAATAGGGTTGTACTGTGGAAGTCAACCACCTCAAAATAAGGGCTTGGACAAGCTACATAACCTCTCGGGGAAAATAGGGGTAATAATTTCAACCTCATAAGGTTGTGGTGAGTAATGAATGAGATTTTATGTAATGATCAATTTATACTAAGTAGACTGTGTGTTCATAAATGCTGGTGTCCTACTGTGTCAGTAAATTAGCATCCAATGTAATACAGTGTAGATTTCAGGTCTTCAGTAAATATACATTGATTTAAGATAGATTATATTGCTGTTGTTGTTCATTTGTTTTTATCCATCATCTCAAATGTCTTCCTTGCCCAATATTCTCACCTCCACCAACAATACTCACAGACAGCACTCTCTCTTAGGAAGAGGGACAAGAGACTGACTCTGAAACACACATGAGTGCCCTGTTGCCATAACATCAGGATGGATCTAGGGCCCTGTGGAACTGTAGGACAAGGGAGAATGAGGGGAAACCAGAACGCCAGGTTCTACCCAATAGATTCAAGGATGCATTTGTTCGACGTGCATATCATGTATCCTTAGGGAGTGCTCAGCATTGTGTTAAATGTTATATATAAAAAAGAAGATGTTTCCCTAATCCCAAGGAATATATGGTTGTCTTAGTCCATTTTCTGTGGCTTATAACAGATAACCTGAAATTGGGTATTATAGAAAGAAAGGAAATTTATTTTTTGTAGTTATGGAGGCTAAGAAGTCCAAGGTCAAGGGGCCACATCTGGTGAGCCCTTTTTAATGGTGGAGACTCTACGAAGTCCTGAAGTGGCTCAGGATGTTGCAGGGTGGAGGGGGCTGAGCATGTCAGCTCCGGTCTCTTTCCTCCTCTTAAAAAAGCCACCAGTCCCACTCCCATGATACTTCATTAATTTATTAACCCACTGATCCATTAATCCACAAATAGGTTAACCCATTCTTGAGGGCAGAGCCCCAATGACTCACTCACCTCTTAAACACTCCACGCCTCAATACTGCCACGTTGGGGATTAAGTTTCAACCTGAGTTTTGGAGGGGACAGATATTCAAACCATAGCAATTATGTAATGTAGGAATAAGAAACATTGTGTGGTGTCATGGAAAGAGGCCTGCATGAGGAGTGAGAGAACCTGGATTTCAATCTTAGCCCAACATTTCTAGATAGATTGTGAAATTAGGGAATGTCTCTGTTTTTTAAGGTTCAGTCTCATCTGTGTAACGTGAACATAATAATAATAACAGCCCCTTTAACTTTATGATATTGCAAATACCAATTTAGTAAATATAGGAGGAGATTCTCTGTAAACTAAGCAAGCATTTTGACTAGATTCAGCCACACAAAGGCAGAGACTATGATTTTGTTTTATCACTTTATACTCATGTCTCAGGCCAGTGCAATTAGTAAACCTTCAACAAACATTCACTGGATGAATCGTTAAATGAAAGAGCTAGAATCATTGGACACACAGTTATGGAGTTAAACTTATCACATGGATAGATCATTTATAGTTTTCTGTCCTACAGACATAAACGGAAATTCAGCGAAAAATGAAAAATTGCAGGTTTAAGTGAGTCTTGGAAAAACTCACTGAGTCATCTTAAGCTGGTTCTGGAAAAAAGTACTGTAATTTTTTTAAGTGTATAAAATTGCTGAATAAAGTTTCTTATGTGCCATTGTTCATTCATTTAATCCTCATAACAACTAGCTAAGAGAGGTGCTGTGATTAGACCATTGTATATAAAAGTAAATAAAGGCATAGGAAGGTTAAGCACCTTGCCTTCCGTAATGTAGCTAGGTGGCTGTAGCCATATGGTACCATCTTTATTTATAACAATGTGCCTCTCTGCCTGTCTGTACCTGATAGATTGTTGTACTTCATGGCATGTGGGGTAGAGGCAAAGTAGCATGAGGAATACAAATAATATAATAATTTTAAAAACATTGTCAAAGAAAGCAAGGAAAATGGTAGTGTCATTGAGAGAAAACAGTAATTGGGATTTAATTAGTGAGTAAACTTTTCAACACAAAATAGAAGCTCTTCATGTTCTACTTCCAGTCTAGTTTTGTACCTTCATCTTGAACCCCTCTTCCATATACCCATGATTTATCCATAACTGTGTTGTTTTCTAAGCTATATTAGCTCTCTGTCACCTTCTTTTCTCCACGCTTACTGTTGCTTCTGCAACCTACCCCCGACCCATCTCCACCCTCACACACCTTCCCCCAGACATACCTCAAATGCCACTTCTTCTGTGAAGGTCTGTCTCCCACACAATTGGGCGATTTCTTTTCCATGTTTCTGTAGTACTTTTTGAGAACTCTACTTTGTCGATCATCCCATGTTGCCTAACAACCACAGTTGTCTTTGAAATCTTTATATTGTTGAAAAAATAGTTAACCTTGACAAAAGAGAGGGTGCAATCTTTACCGTAGAGAACGAAGGTGTTCTGTCTCCCGATTTGGCTTTTGAGACTTTCTACAATAATGGAGATTGAAAAATCTTAGAGAATATTTAGTTACTCCATTTAGTTACTCCACTATTTAGTTACTCCATTTTATGTCACCTCCTGTTACATTTATTTATTTATTTGTTTGTTTTTTTGTTTATGAGACGGCGTCTTGCTCTATTGCCCAGGCTGGAGTGCAGTGGCATGATCTCCTCTTACTGCAACCTCCAACTCCCAGATTCAAGCAATTCTTCTGCCTTAGCCTCCCAAGTAGCTGGGATTACAGGAACCTGCCACCATGCCTGGTTAATTTTTGTATTTTTGGTAGAGACAGAGTTTCACTATGTTGGCCAGGCTAGTCTCAAACTCCTGACCTCAAACGATCTGCCCGCCTGGGCCTCCCAAAGTGCTGGGATTACAGGTGTGAGCCACCATGCTCAGCCAAGTTACATTTATAAAGAAGGAAATTTAGGCTCTGAGGAAAAAAAAAGTCGAGTTCTCAAGTTTACAGAATGTGTTAGTTACAGGGCTGCTCCTAGATGGATATACTTGAATGAAATATTTTTGCAATAAAATGATAGTATTTGTTGATCACTTGCAGTGTAATGAGCAGAAGCTGAGCACTTCACATAGAAAACTCATATTTAATATTGTTTTTGCTAAAAGTACCTGAAGAAAACAAGTAACTTGTCAAAAATCATATAGTAAGAAAAGCATGGAACCAAGATTCAAACTCAGCCTAGTCCCCAAACTGAAGCTTGTTATTCCTTCTCTATAGGGCTCCTGACTCTACTTCCTTTACAATAACTGGGAAAAGGGAAATATTCTTAGTGCGAAATTCTAATCAGTATCAGCATGCAGAAAAGGATCTGTGTTTAACTCATCTGATTGGTTCTTGGGGCGGAGGGAACAGAGTAAAGCTGGTGATAGGGGAAAGGAAGCCCTAAAGCAGAAAGCAAGAGAGGGCAAGAAAACAAGTTCACAAATGGAGGGAGAACGTGGGCAGGAGAAAATAGACGGATCCTTCCCATCCTGCTCTGCCAAACTCTGGAAATACTACTAGAGTAGAAATATGATTTCCATTATGTGCAGTCAACAGAGAGGAACATATGAGTGGTTTGTGAGTAGTCTATGAATACTTGTTTTTAGCATTTGACTCACATCACCTTAAGAGAGAAGCTAAAGATACGTATTGTTTGCAACAAATATTCAGATTGCATTATCTGTACTTTAAGCATCACAAGCAAAATACGTCTCTATTTAGGGCCTATCTTACCCTAGTCTAATAAATAAGGATCACTGGAGGCAATACAGTTAGATGAAGAGTTTAGCAATACCTCAAGCCTTTGCTTTTCTAATCCCTGGGTGGAAAAGTCATTGATAAATTCAGAAGCTTTTTGTTGTTTTTCTCAGATCAAAGGTAACATTGAACCATAGGCGTATTGTACTTGGTAATTGAAGAGCTAGGGAATGGAGGCAGAAAATCAGTTTGGATACCATGGCAGTTTATTCACGGTACAGCCGCAGGTTAATCTGTGAGACTAAGATGCAAGTATTTAATCAAGAGAGTGTGGACGTTTCTCTTCACATGAATATGTAGCAACACACAGGAATTTATACCTGAAAGGACAATTTAGTGAAATTCCATACTTCCCTTGCCATAAAAGACAGAGACCATTTCTGAATTACCTTCTCAGGGGTGACACCTGTGCTTTTGAGGTTTATGTTCCTCACACAAACTTGTATATAAGTGACAGCAATGGTCTTGCATAAATCAATTAGTTTAAAGCTATTTTTCTTTAAACTATTTTAGAAATGCCCTCATAAATCTTCCCCTTCCCTATTTAGTAGAAAGGAACAGTACAGTCAGAAAAAAAAAAAATAGTCCTGTTAGTTCAAGTAGCAGGGTCAGCAAATACCAGGTCATAATGGATTTTTTTAAACATCTTTAGGATGCTACCCATTGCTCACCCTTTGCTTCAGTAGTGGAGAAATATGGCAATTATTAGCCAAACAGACAGGGTCCCAGGGCTCTAAATGCAGAGAGACTATAATTTTCCAAGCATTAGAGCCCATATCCTGTTGTCCTCAGTACTTCGAGGTCACCAGCACTTTACTCCGGTATTTACATTTCATTCTTTGCTACAAGGGAACCTGAGACCTTTAATGGATTCCCTCATATGCCCATTTAGTATTTTGCTGTGTCCCTTCCTTGCCTCTCCCAGGGTCCACCCAGGGGAATTAGAATTATCTGCCTGAGAGTAATGGGTAGCGGGGGCACCGGATGAAGACTGATTTGGATTCAGTGAAAAAGAATTGGGGTTTTAGTGATGGCATTCATATTTATCCTCTAGTCAAAAGCTGCAAAGATTGAGGGAAAGTTATTTAAGGAGGTGATGCATTTTATGTTTATTATTAAAGAAGCTTTTATTGCACTTCTATTTATAATGGTTGTTTGCCAGATGAAGCAAGTTTAATTATATAAATCATTTAAAAATAATCATAAAAGGCAGTATATATCAAAATGAGCAATTTGATTAGGTTTCATTTATTTGCAAGATAATCATATTAAAATAGCAATTTATATAATCTTTAAACATTCTTGCAATATAATAATTACTCTACCGTCTATCCAATTAATATTGTAAATTATTTTATTTGAAATAAGATGGAACATTAACAAGAAACAAGTAAATAATGCCTCATCTGCCAAACTGTTATTTAACATTTTTAAAGCAAATTGTGTAAGACTTCCAAGAGCCTTCTTCTACTATGTGAATAAGCTCATATATAAAAGTAAGATGTTTGCTCAAAATGTTGTCTTTGTTTCCCTCAGTCCCTGGGATATTCTTTATGGCATAATTGCTGCAGTGAATATTTTTTCATAAACAGTATATGATGTATTCTATAGCGTAGAGATGGAATTTGTGTTTAAATATGCACAAAGATAGACTAGTATGTAATGTTTGTTTCCAATTTGTTCTTTTTCAGCACAGCAGGACACTAATAATAGGGCAGGGAAAGGATACAATGACTTCTCAAGGTAGCTTGGAACTCTTGTTTTCTACTTACTGTAATCTGAAGTGTCAAGTCAACTGAAACACACAGGAGTCATTTTGAAATGAACAGAACAAGTCCATTCCAAGCATTCATATATTTGAAAATTTTAATGTAGGACAGTAAGACAATTTATATTTTGTCTTTTGGCAAATCCTTACTATACTTGAGTTTGTTTTTCTATCGATGGTGTTTAGTATAGCAATGGAGTCCTTGGGGCTTGCTCGAACCTTCTTTTTTACCTTTTTTTTTTTTTTTTTTTTAAAGATGGGGCTCTCAGTCTATTGCCTAGGCTAGTTTGAAAATCCTGGGCTCAAGGGATCCTCCCAACTCAGCCTTCTGGTATTACAGAAGCGATTACACCACACACCTGGTCCAATTATTATTATTTTAAGATGAGTCCATTGTATGACCTAGGACAAGAAAAGAAATTTTCTTACTACATTGATTCATTTATTACAGCAGGGACAGTACTGAAGACACAATGGCCTCCTGGATTGTACATTCCAGTGAAGGGGGATGGAAAATAAATACATATATGAATATTAAAGTAAGATCATTAGGAGTGGACATTGGTGCCTTCAGGGAAATAAACTTGATGCTATTAGAGAGAATCGAAAGGCTGAGTCTATTTTAGGCTGTGTGTTTCAGGAGGGTATCAATTGGGAACATACAAGCGCAGAGAAATCCAAAACACATGATAATATCTGAGGAGTTTGCTGCAAGATTGTTGTGAGGTTATAGTTGTAGAAGGGCATTACAAAATCAAAAATGAAATATAAATGTACAATGTTGTGAATAAATAAGAGAGAGTAGAAGGAGGGTGTTTCCTCCCCATTGCTTGGAGGATTGCCGCATGCATATAACCAATGCTAGTCTACTGCTAGGATAGGAAAGGGGATAGAACAGGATTCAGGAAGTGACTTTAAACCCAACAACTTTGTTCGGTAATGTAATTTTGCACTATATGATACCACCTAAGGCCAGGCTCTGTTATTCTAGTTTATGAAATCATTTGGTTTAATGTTCCTTTTTAATATACTAAAATCCATTATAATATACACACATGCAATTTTTCATATTCCTGAATTTTATTGTAGGGTTATTTAAGTTTTTAAAGATTTAATAAACACTAATATAGAAAGCCAAGCAGAAGCACAAAAACATTTTCCTCTAACAGCAGGACCCATTTAATTTAATCTTGGAAAACATGATTTATCCGTTAAGAGGGATACTATTAGAAAAAAATGAAAAATATTGTTCATGGCCATATATCATTGTAAAATAGCATATTCCAGTATTTTAAAACACTAAATGTGATCCAAATCAAAGTCAGCTTTTTCCCTTTCGTTGACAATATGGAGCATATGTTGGGATTATGAGCCATAATTAAGCAGTAAGAGACAACAGTGTGTGTGTGCTGTGTTGGGAATGTGCCATGTGCTGGGTGTGTAAGATATGAGGCCAGGAACAGAGATGCCCACAGCCACCATGGTGGTGGCAAAATTCCAACCCAACATACAAGCATATGCCTTGCAGCATGCTTTCACCCTATTAACATGCCCTTGTTATGAACACTCTACTTTATATTCTTTTACTTACTATGCATTATAGTATGAGAACGTTTCAAATCTTTCTCCTTTTGGCCAAATCAGAAAAATGCAAATTCCACATTGGGGACTTTTCTTTTCCTAGATGTTTTCAAGGGTTTGCTTTACATTATTTCCTATAGTTTAAAGGTATGCTTCCATCTGGAATGTAGCTTCTCTACTAAATGCCAGAGTGGGCAACTGGAAACAGAGGTGATTTAAACCCAACAGCGAAACGCTAACTCAGAGTTAAACCTTGAACACTCCAGCGCAATAGAAAGCTGAAGTCATTTGTTTGGCTTCTCCAATTTCAGGAAATAGACTGGACCCTCTGAAGTTCTTAAATAAGACAAAAATAAATCTTATTCCAAGGAACTCTTGAGCTTTTAAAAATGGTGCGTAACGTCAGACAACACAATAAATTTCAAATTTACTATTTTCTTATTACATATAAAAATACATTTTGAGAAACAGATGAAAATGATTTGCCTTTTATTTAATTAACCTGGTTTTGAGTCAGAAAATGGCATAAGCAAATTGTTTGTCTTCCAACTAACTTCTTTAAAGATGCACTGTTGCAATCCTAAAACTTTGGGAGGCCGAGGCTGGTGGATCACTTGAGGTCAGGAGTTCGATATCAGCCTGGCCGACATGGTGAAACCCCGTCTCTACTAAAAAATGCAAAAATTAGCCAGGCGTGGCAGTGCATGCCTGTAATCCCAGCTACTCTGGAGACTGAGGCAGGAGAATTACTTGAACCTGAGAGGCAGAGGTTGCAGTGAGCCGAGACTGTACCACTGCACTCTAGCCTGGGCAACAGAGTGAGAAACCATCTCAATTAAAAAAAAAAAAAAAAAAAAAAAAGTGCACTGTTGCAAGGGAGGCCTTGAGGAAGAGATTTTTTTGAGGTGAGAAAGCAAAGAAACATCCCTTAGTTGCAAGGCACTATTACTCTGATGGAGTAGACATGTGCCTTTCCAATACTTAAATTCTGACCAAGAAAGACAGTAGGTCAAATAGAGTACACACACTTTGTAATAACACTAGATCTAGCCTAGGTTACAGAATCTTTTTATTAGGTATTTTCATTATATTGGGAAAGCCCAATTAAATAAAACAATATTTGTGGTCATATAAAGTCATAAAAATGTCAATACCTATTGAAATAGAATGAATAATAGTATTGATATGACCTAGCCTGAGAAAAATGAAAGAGTTATAATCTTCTTGTAAAATGTGTTGAATTTGGGAAATCTGTTATAAAAAGACAGAGATAGAGACAAGAAATAAAGGGCAATATCAAGCTATATTCCAGATCTATATTCCAGTATTGAATTTTCCAGAATATTTTCACTGTTTTTGTAATAAAGTTCTTAAAATGCTCCTATAATTAAAAATTTGAAGGCTTAATTTGAATTTAAAAATATAATGCATGTAACCTACTTACAACATACAAAATTTGCACAGATATAAAATAAGTAAGGAATAATTTTATTTTTATTTTTATTTTATTTATTTATTTATTTTTGAGACGGAGTCTCCATCTGTCACCCAGGCTGGAGTACAGTGGTGCGATCTCAGCTCACTGCAAGCTCTGCCTCCTGGGTTCCTGCCATTCTCCTGCCTCAGCCTCCCGAGTAGCTGGGACTACAGGCGGCCACCACCACGCCCGGCTAATTTTTTTTGTATTTTTGGTAGAGACGGGGTTTCACCGTTTTAGCCTGGATGGTCTCGATCTCCTGACCTCGTGATCCACTCGCCTCGGCCTCCCAAAGTGCTGGGATTACAGGCGTGAGCCACAGTGCCCGGCCGCAGGGAACAATTTATATCAGGAAGTTTAACATTTGGATAAATAAGTTGGATTAGAAAACTTATAGGAGATTGAAATACAAGAAGGCAGTAGGTGAGATGTCATAATAAACAAAGACAGGAATTCAAAGGAGGCAAATACTATGCCCTCTCAGAGAAGTGAGGAGCGGCTCTTTGGAGAGGGTAAAATTTAAGGTGATATTTCAAATGTGGATGGGCTTAAGGAAGTAGAGAAGAATAAATTTGGGCAGAGCGATCAGAAAACATTTGGTGGGGAAAGGAGTGGCCCTCGCAGGGGTGGGTGCTTACCAGATCCAGGTTGCCCTGGAAGTGGGTGCCGGGAAGGTTGGAAGAGTAGAGAAGAAAGGGGTCTTGTCATCCTTGCTTCTGATCACCTAATTTTCAAACAGAAAGTCTAGTGCCCCTAGAGTTGGTGGGTGGTTCAAATATACAGTTAGAATGAGTCTAACCCTGAATTTGCCGATTTCACAGGCCACTGCTATTTTTCGTGTTGTGAACTGATTTGAAAAGTCGATTACCGAAGTATGCTCTTCTAGTAGCAGTGGAAAGCCTAGAAGGGTCCTGCCGGAGCAGGGATGATAGAGCCACTTAAGGAAGATTCTTCCAAAAGTGGTGCCTAGGAAGGACTGAGCACTTCTGTCAGGTTATGTCCAAAAAACAATTATATTCATGGAGATAGAAACATAGTGGATGAGTAAAGAAGTATTTTGGGGGTACACTTTTACGTGGAACATGAAGTAGTGGAAAGAAATTCCTAGACCCAAGGAATGAATAATACAGTTCAAAAGAGAATCTTAATGTTTTCCCTGCTTGGAGAAAACCTCCCCACACATCTGTACTTTGTCTCCTTCTCTCTCAAATGTAGATCACAGGCTTGAGAAAAATTAAATATGCATCAAAAGACATAAATCAATCACCAGAGAGAAATGAGGAAATAGAGAAATAAGAAGGTATTTTTACTCTTAGCTATCCTTACTTGTGATTTTAAACTAAAACAAAATAAAAACTAGTCATTCGTAGAGGGAGTAAAATAGTTAACACTGATGAATACTTGTAAAGCCAAATGAAAGTCCAGATCATCAGAATTTGACCTTGAAGGAAATTAATTCACTACTTCTGGCATATGAGGAGATCATCAGCTTCCTGGAAAGGGTTCTTTTGGAGAAATCCAGCTTCTGACTGTAGCAGCCACATCACAATTGTCTTAAATAACAGGGCAGATGGATAAAGATGCACCATAGAAATTCTTCTTTGGGTTAGAGCCTACATTGCCAGGTGCCTTTCCTTCTCTCACGTGGCCCTGGGTGCTGGTTACCTTGTTCCTCACCTCCCACAGAATGGCTTCAGCCAGCGCAACAGCGGTGCACACGACCAGTATGCAGAACTCACTTTGCTTTTTTGCTGGTACTGAGGGTGCCACTGAAGGGGATTCCTGGATGGAGACTCCACAGGAGGAGATATAGATCGTTTATGGGAAGGGAGGGACAAGAAACTGAGCAAATAATTAAGGAAAGATATGGAGGTGAAAGTAAGTTCCTGTGAATACGCTGAAAGAAAGGAGAGATCAGTTTTTGCAAGAGTTACTGGTAGCAGACAAGTAAGAAGCAGGTCTATAGTCATTGAAATGTCGTTCCTGTACCACATTTGCTTTTATTCCACTACTGCAGGTTGGGAAATAAAATTTCCCCTGGAAAACAAGGGGAAATTGCGTGTTCTTTACTCAGCATAATTGAGGCTGAAAATTTCAACACTGCTTAGATGGAAAATGCCACAGAAAACACAATGCTGGTCTAGATCAAGTACCAGATGTGAAGCATTTACTAAGCAAAATATACCTTTCAAATATACTTACTTAAAAATATAAACAGTGAGATAGAAACAGTTCATAACATTTCTTTATTTTTTAACATTATTTCTGATTTTTCTAAGTTTTGCACAGGCATTTGGAGCCTATTACTTATACTCTTACATGTGAATTTATTTGAAGATAATTTAAAGTTATGTATTTTAGAGCTGTCAGGATTTAGGAATATTTTTGTGATGCATAGGGCATTCCATATAATTGTTTGTTAACACTAGACCTCAAGTTGCACAAAGTCAACTGGAGGAAAACTTAAGAGAAGACCTGGCTTAGACAGTGAGAAGGGTGTTCAAATAACATAGTAATGATGGTAATAGCCAATGTTTATTAGTAGTTACCAGGTACCTGGCATTCTACTGATGCTTTTCACGCATCATTCAACTGTGCCTAGCCTCGTATTTAAGGTTGCATATTTATCTGCTAAATCTGGCCACGCTCCTCTTATTAACAATAAGAAAAGTGAAGTTAAAGATCTCTCCCAAAGTCATAGAGCTGTTAAGAAGTAGTTGGAATTTGGAACCAACATCTTTTGTACTTCAGAGCCTATCTTTTAAATGCTACACTATAATTTAGCAGGCTCTAATGAAACAATGCAAAAGTTCAATTTGCAGAAAGACTTAATGACAAAAATGATGGGCAGAATTTGTCTCATTGACAATGACAGTTGAATACTTTAAGAATGAAGAAAAATGTAGTTTAGTTTTCTTTGAATTTAGATTTGACATATTTATTGTTTCTTTGTAGAAGGATGAGTTTCGCTTCAACTTGATTTGAATAGACACTGAATAAGCACAGCTGCTTTATTTTAACTTTGACACAGACAGGAATGCATGGAAAGTTTCATATGGGAATGAGTAGAAACTCGTTTGAGAGAAACTGAGCAATAGGACTAGAGTTCTACTATTATGGAAAAAAATAACATTCTTACCATAAGCCACACTAGATTGAACACTATATATAAAAATATATATATGTATATATATTTTTATATATATTTATTTATATATTTATTTATATATATATTTATTTATATATATATTTATTTATATACATATTTATATATATATATTAGGCTCCTGCCCTTGCACAGAAACTAGGAGATAGGGATGCAATCTTCCTTAAATACATTTCAAAAAGATGATTCCCTGGTAGCTGAGAAAGGTATTCCTGGATCTTAAACCTGGAATAAGGCTCACCTAGCTAGAAAGGATTTCCATATATTTTAACAAGACAGAAAACAAATTTACAATTACATGTTTTCCTAAGTGAATGTTCTACAAAAAGATGAAGGCAGGGGTTAGGAGGTAGTCTCTTCTCTTATTTTCAACAGGATGACTTATTTTTAATATATATTTGCACTTATTTTAATATATGTTTGCTCTTATCCTTACCAAATATGGAAAGTTTCTGGAATAGTTGACTGAGATATTATAAATACTGTAAGATGTCTTTGCTATTATGGTATTATTATCATCATTACCATTGAATATAATGATTGTATAATCAGGGGTGTGTGTGTGTGTGTGTGTGTGTGTGTGTGTGTGTGTAAAATAAGCCAGAGAAGATATGGGTATTGGGCAATGAAGATGTTAGAACAGTCAACAGGCCTGGGAGTAATTGTTGGATATCTGAATGGAGACAAGTACATTACAGATGGCAGGATAAAATTTTCAAACATGGATGAGAACATTAATATAATCCAAGAAGTTGGAAGTTTAGGTTCAGAGAATATAAATAAATCAGCATGACCTCAGGAAAAAGCTGTGTTTGGGGATAGTGAGAATGATAAGACATTTTGCTGGGACAGAATTATGGAAACTTTTTAGTGAGAAATACAGATTCAATGAAATAGGAAAGTATGGAGTGGAGTCCTGTGCTGAATGTGGTTTGTTTAATATGCTGAGTCTCACAGTGGGGTGCTTGTAAAATGAGCCTCAGGAAGGCAAGATTATCAACCAGTATATGTTAAGCAATGTGGGAGCTTAATAAGGCCCTGGTGCATGCGGTGGCCGAGGAAATGGAATGGAAGAAAAGAACACATTCAATGTCAGGACAGAGGAACAGAAGGAGTCAGAGTGACAGAAAAATGTTGCACCTCAAAGAAAGCCCTAGAGTTAATGGCTTTAGAGAAAATAATAAATAACAAAGAGGAGCATGAGGATACTGCCTCTTCTTCTGTTCAAAAAGCTGGGCTGAGGATAGAAACAGAAGAATTGGACAAAAACTACCAAAAAAGAGCAAAAATAGTTCTCAAAAGACTTTCCTTTCAAGTTGGATTATTGCATTAATTGATTGATTGGAACAGATACTAGATTTATACAATGTAAATATACATCCACACATCCATGAATGAAAGTCTTTCTCACTGATTTCCATGGGGCAATTAGCCAAAGGTCTTTCATTTGCTCACAGGCAGCTCTACCCCCTTCTCTAAAACTGTCACATAAGAAGGTAGCTGCAATTTTTAAAGTGAAGAGGAGAGGGAGAGCTCACTCGTGACTTATGAAACCATTTGGTTTGTTCACACCGTGGGTCTGCATCACTTCCCAGACAAGGATTGCGATTTTTAGTAGTTGCTTTACCGCAGGGCCAAGCACTTGGTCTGGTGTTGGTTCTCCATAAAGGTTTGTCGAAGTGAAGTGTACTATTATAATTATGTAAGCAGCACGCTGACTTATGAGAATTATTGCTCAGGAGGGAGTTCTCGGGATCAAGGGTGGTTTGGTGGAGATTCCCAAGCGACACTAAGGGCAAAATGATTCTATAATGGGTGAGAGCTGTATGGTTATTTATTTTTCTCTAAAAGAGTTTGGCAGAAAGAGAGTAGAGTCAAAGAAAGCTGAGAGTAGAACTAATACAAAATTGGATTTGTATGGAATGCTCAGTATAATGTCAAAGGAAGGAAGAAGTTAGTTTTGAAAATCTATAATACAGCTCACACCCCATTCAACTCTCTGTTTGCAATTTAAGGGAATTTCTCCAGTCACTCTTCCCAGCAATAATTGTAGGTACCTCATTAAGCTGCCTCTAAATTGTATTGTATGAATATTTTATAAGGCAATTTCGTTCATCTAATCATCATATTGAGACTGATTAAAGAGGAGGGAAGGAATGGTTTATTTCTGATATCTGCACTATTTGTTGTTGTTGTTTAAAGGCACCTTCCTCTACAGAATTGGATTTTATTATCCTAAAGCCATACATACTGTATTCAAAATTCTCTATTTGAAGTGGCCAATTCAGTACTGATTTCTAACAATGAAGTTTTAGAGAACATTTCTCTTTTGATGTTGTCAAAATTTTTCTTTCCATCACAGGAAAAAAGAAAAACTCATGACTAGTCAAAGTGTGTAGGCTTTGGCAAACGATCATCCTATACAGAAAAGTTGAAACTCTTTAAATTTTTAGAAGGATCTGTCCTCCTTGCAAGGAAGAGTAAGAGTCTCCAAGAATAATAAATATAGTCAATATGTAAGGCACATTTATTTTCCAATTTTTAATAACCATGTTCACCCTTTAGTTATTTTCCTTTATTTAGCGATAATAATGTAATTTGACATCTAAGAATTTTTTTAATAAAAAAAGCAAAAATAATTCAAGACAAAGACAGAGGCACCAGCTATTTTCTGGAAGTATTGAGATGAATACCATAAGAAAGGAGAAAAAGAGGGTGAGACTTTTTTTTTCAAAAACATCATCTTTTAAACCCAGCACAAAGTAAAATTCCTCCAATGACAAATTATTGATTTAGTATAATATTATCAATAAGCACCTGAAACTTTCCTGAAAGGGAAATATTTTTAAAATTTATTAAGTAAGAGGCATTTTTGGGTGATGTGTTATGATTTGTAAAACAAAGAAAGCAATGGTTCCATTTACTGAATTGGCTAGAACTTATCTGGATTATGTTACTTTTCTGGATCAATTTGTTCAAAGAGATGTTCAGAATTAAAACATGTGCAGTGGAGGATGAACAGAATGGTGAGAGATTTAAATCTATCCAGGCTATCATAATGTTTAGCAAGGAGAAGAGTCAGCTTTGGAAAACACCCAATAAGTAATGTAAGCTATGTGACTGGTTATCACTTAAGAAAATACTATTTCAATAGAGCCCAGAATACAGAAGAGCATTTGTGTGTTACAGGTAGACAAATTTAGGAAAAGCATACGGAAGAATAAATTTAATAATTTTAACTATATAAAAAACTGTAGTATGTACACTCAGGAAATAGTGAGTTCTCCATCACCCTCAGCAGTCGGTAGACAAAAGATATTTTCCGTAGAACCCTTATAATACTTGAAAGGAGATTGTATGTGTAAAGTTTTAACTCCTTTTTAACTAAATATAAATAATATTACTTTTAATGAATACATTACAAATAATTTTGAACATACATTTGATTATAGGATACTATTATAAATAAGTTTTGAAAATTCATTCAAATATATGATGTATATGTATTATATGCTAAGTGTATATGTATTTTTTAAATATATAACCATTTTTGGTTTGCTCAATTGTCCTTTGTCAAGTTATTGTTGTTATTTTTTGAGGTTCTTACGCATAACAAATGACCACATAAAAGGCCATTACTCAATGTGTGCTAAAACTTGCTCTTCTCACCAGTAAGTACTTTTAAGCTCAATTTGCCTGACTTTCTATATCCTTAGCCTGCGAAGATACACCCTGGGCCAATTCATTTATATTATCTTGTGTATCTAACAAATTATAAAATAAAAATCAAATTAATATGGTCGACATCTCTTGAGGAATATCTGAAACTGTAGTTTTATTTGTTGTAGATCTGATTTGGGGGTTAGATATCTCATATTTCTAGGATGTTTCCCCATGAAACAAGCAGTCCGGAGATATTTTGCTATGTAGTGTAGCATTGCTATGTTATTTGCTTATGTATAAATTCAGAAGAATGAAAGTAAAATAAAATAATACAAAAAAAGCAAAAGGAGCTACATTGCATTCAAGTCACTTTGTAGTTAAATGGTTCCTTGAAATATAAGCAAAAGAACCTACCTGAATTTCCACCCAGTAGATGTACGAAACCTGGTTTCTATAATCTTCCTGGCTATGGAATTTAAAGAACTTAAAAAAAAAAACTGATTTCAGAAACTCCTGAGCCTACCATTAAAATATCCTTCCCTATAAAATGATTTTACTCATCACAGATGTGTATTTTATAGTAGGTGGGATGCTCTGTCAGGTGTTTATAATTACAGAGATATTACCTGCCACCAAAATATTTACAAATTTGATTTTATAGTTAATGGTATGGAGAGGGAGCTTGTTTTGAGGGAACAGATAACAAGTCTTATGTTAGGCATATTTGAAATTTAAATCAATGGCAAAATATACAGGTTTAGGAGTCCTGAACATTGAGGAGAAGTTAAGTTCTAGAGTTCCTATTTAAGGATCATTCAGGTAGAAGTAGACTGTGATGCAAGAGAAAAACATGTCCAAGAAAGGTATTGGGGCTGCCCTTTCTAAAGCAGATAGGATATATAATAGTCTGTTCTCATGCTGCTATAAGGAACTGCCTGAGACTGAGTAATTTATAAAGAAAAGAGGTTTAATTGACTCAGAGTTCCACAGGGCTGGAGAGACCTCAGGAAATTTACAATCATGGTAGAAGGGAAAGGAAACAGATCCCTCTTCACATGGCAGCAGAAAGGAGAATAATGAAAGCTGAGTGAAGGGGGAAGCCCCTTGAAAAACCATCAGAACTTGTGAGAACTTATGCACTATGGTGAAAATATCATGGGGGAAAATGCCCCCATGATTCACTTACTTCCCGCCAGATACCTCCTACCACACATGGGGATTATAGGAACTACAAGTCAGTATGAGATTTGAGTGGGGACATAGCCAAACAGTATCATTTTACCCCTGACCCCTCCCAAATCTCATGTCCTCACATTTCCAAACACAATCATTCCTTTCCAACAGCCCCCCAGATTGTTAGCTCATTCCAGCATTAACCCAAAAGTCTAAGTCCAAAGTTTCATCTGAGACAAGGCAAGTCCATTCCACCTATGAGCCTGTAAAATCAAAAGCAAGTTAGTTACTTCCTAGATGCAGTGGAGGTTCAGGCATTGGGTAAATACACCCATTCCAAATGGGAGAAATTGACCAAAACAAAGAGGATACAGGCTCCCTTCAAGTCTGAAATCCAGTGAGACAGTAAGTAAATCTTACAGCTCTGAAATAATCTCCTTTGATGCCATTTCTCATTCTAGGTCATATTGATGCAAGAGGTAGCTCCCATGGACTTAGGTAGCTCTTCTCCTGTGGCTTTGCAGGGTACAGCTGCCCTTCTGGCTGCCTTTACAGGCTGGCATTGAGTGCCTGCTGCTTTACCAGGCACATGCTACAAGCTGTAGGTGGATATACCATTATAGGGTCTGGAATACCATGGCCATCTTCTCATAGCTCCACTAGGCAAGTGCCCCAGTGGGGACTCTGTGTGGGGGCTCTGACCCCACATTTCCCTTCTGCACTGCCCTAGCAGAGGTTCTCCATGAGGTATCCACCCCAACAGCAAACTTCTGCCTGGACATCCAGGTGTTTCCATATATCCTCCAAAATCTAGGTAGATGTTCCCAAACCTCAATTCTTGACTTCTGTGCACCCACAGGCTCAACACCATGTGGAAGCTGCTAAGGCTTGGGGATTGCACCCTATGGGGCCATGGCCTGAGCTGTACTTTAGCCCCTTTAAGCCACAGCTGGAGCAGCTAGGACACAGGGCACTAAGTCCCTAGGCTGCACACAGCAGCAGGGGCCTAGGCCTGGCTCACAAAACCATTTTTTTCTCCTAGGCTTCTGGGCCTGTGATGGGAGGGGCTTCCATGAAGATCTCTGACATGCCCTGGAGACATTTGCTCCATTGTCTTGGTGATTACCATTTGGCTTCTTGTTGCTTATGCAAATTTCTGCAGCGGGCTTGAATTTCTTTCCAGGAAAGGGGTTTTCTTTTCTACTGCATCATCAGGCTGCAAAGTTTTCAAATTTTTATGCTCTGCTTCCTCTTGAATGCTTTGCCACTTAGAAATTTCTTCTGCCAGATACCCTAAATCATCTCTCTCAAGTTCAAAATTCCACAGATCTCTGGGCAGAGGCAAAATGTGTCTTTGCCTAGCAAGAGTGACCTTTACTCCAGTTCCCAACAAATTCCCCATCTCCATCAGAGACCACCTCAGCCTGGACTTCATTGCCTATATCACTATTAGTATTTTGGTCAAAGCCAATTCAACAAGTCTTTAGGAAATTCCAAACATTCCCACAATTTTTCTGTCTTCTTCTGAGCCCTCCAAACTGTTGCAACCTCTACCTGTTACCCAGTTCCAAAGTCACTTCCACGTTTTTGGGTACCTATATAGCAGCACCCCACTCTTTGTGGTACCAACTTACTGTATTAGTCTGTTATCATGCTGCTATAAAGAACTACCTGAGACTGGATAATTTGTAAAGAAAAGAGATGTAATTGACTCACAGTTCTGCAGTGCTGGGGAGGCCTCAGGAAACTTTCAATCATGGCAGAAGGGGAAGCAAACATGTCCTTCTTCACATGGCAGCAGGAAGGAGAAGAATGAGAGCCAAGTGAAGGGGGAAGCCCATTAGAAAACCATCAGATCTTGTGAGAACTTACTCACCATCACGAGAATAGGATGGGCGAAACTGACCCCATGATTCAATTACCATCCATTGGCTCCCTCTTACCACATGTGGGGATTTGGGAACTATAACTCAATATGAGATTTGTGTGGGGACACAGCCAAACTGTATCAGGATGCTTGAGGTAGTCAGGGGAGGAAATGAGAATGAAGCTCTGGACTGTGGAGAGTCTCCTGCTAAAATATTAAATCTCTAAAGCAAGTCTAAAAGCTGCCAATCTATTGAAAAATAATCCATGCTACCCTTCGCCTTGGCTGTACTGGTAATGCTGTGGCACACATTAATCTACTGATGAACCTTTAAAATTCTATCCAGGAATCCTCTTTAGATTACAAATCATCCTACAGTGGATAGGGCAGGGTCAATAGAAAGGTTCAATCCCTTCATTTTCAGAGGGCATTTGGTTTTGGAAAGGTAACTCTCAAAGGCATATACCTCAAGGAAAGCATCACCTCACCCATGCTAAGAAAACCCCACTGTTAAAACTCTAGTAGAAAACCCAAGAAAACACCTTTACTCAGGTATAAGTGAGTTGGCTGCTTATTAGTGTGACATGTGACATGCTATGTTTAAGTGCCTACTAGGCTGTTAAGTACATGTTACACTTGTCACTTACATGATTTGACATTTCTCAATACAAAGAGAAAAATGACAACCAATATATCTAGAGTTTTAAAAAGTAATGATACATTCTGAGTATATGAGGCTAAGCAACGAAAAAGATACAATTACATGTTTATGTAAATACTGAGAAACATATTAAGCTAAAATTATATGATAAAAACAAACCTTAGAAACCTGATTGATAGCCATATGTAGCAGATCATACAGTAACTTTTGCACTTGTGTGAGTTTCAGTGGAAACATCCTGCTTTTGTCTTATTTACTTTATTGTATCTGCACCCTTTTGGCAAAGAACACAAGAAAACAGGATTTTACATATAGTAAAAACCCATGTTTTTGTAGATCACTTTATTCCAGATTTATCCATGGGTCTAATGCCATTCCCCCATAAATTAAAATTTGCAAACCATAATACAAAAACTATCTGTATTATCTTTATCTTTTATTCACTTTATTTTCCTAGTCCACAATTTGCCTATTAGATTATGATCAAATTTAGCATCTCAACATTAATGAAAATCAATAGCAGGAACTCAGATAGACAGAATTTAAATTGGTGCCTAGAGAAATCCCTCAATGCCCTCCTCTTACTACAGAAGAAGCCAGAGTTGTGGCTCCAGAGAGTTTCCGCCATTTACTGGCCAATTTTCAATGAGGTAATTCTAGTCATAAATCTTAGTAGGGAAACACTATTGTTGAACACTATAGGTGTTCCATTAATTGAGAGGAACATTGGGTCTGAGATAATACTCTACCTACCCAAGGGCCTTCTTGTTCTCCTGTGTTTGGGTGCACTCAGTTATAAAAAATAAAAAATAAAAACCTGCACTGATTTAACTCTGGCCATTGCAACTGGGATTTCCAAATGCTAAGTGCTAATGCATGATTTAAAAGTATGCTATTTCCTCATTCCTTTTGGGTTGCAAAGCTTTTGTCTCTAAGTTAGAAACATCAAGGTCACTTGAAGGTCAGACAGAATAAACCACATGATGTAAACATCTGTGGTTGGGTTATGCTACATGAACAATTCTGTGGTCTCTTAAATTGGACTTCTAGGTTTGAAATCTGTTCATTTAGAGACTAAAAACGAAAGTTATTTGATTTGATTTTAGTTGATCCAATATCTTCTGAAAGATTAAAATATTACAGCTTAGATAGAATCAATAATGAAGATAAAGGGAAATTTTAAAGTCTGTAGTCATTTTAGTCATGGCTAAATCCTATAAACCCCAATAATTTAAATAAAACTTTGGAAGTTAATCTCGTAGTAACAATTTGAGTTGACTAGTTATATAGTTAAAATACATCACATCAAATTATCTCAAAATGTTTACAACTCCGATACAGATTTTTTTTTCAGACAGCATATAATTTTCTTTATGGAAACTCATTATTCGATGGTACACAAATAAAAAATTATGAAGAACAAGAATGTCACTCTGAGTTCCAAATCGAACAATCTCTTTTTTTCTATGATAGGTTAGTCAATGATAAATGAGATGAAAGATACTTGGAGCTTCCCTTGATATGTAATTCTTCTTGAATTGCATCATTCTGGGATGTTAATGTGTTTTTCCTGTCACATTATGAGATATAATACAGCTCTGGAAAGACTGGCAGTAAAGAAACATTGAGGACTAGAAATTAATTTCCTCAGTGGTTCCTGAAAAATTTCATTAGCCCGGAGAGTTAATTTTACAGTTTTAGTGCAATCATTATTTATCATCTCTTGGTTTATGGGAAAGAATTAGAGTTATTAGCTATTAAATTATCCATGAAAATTTGACACTCCTTTAGACCAAACAAACCCTAGGGCTTGCTGATTTTCCCAGTGTGAAACATCTGTGGCTTCAGCTAGAAAGAACTTAACATTGTCTAATTAGATTTCTAAGATTTATAAGGTTCAAATACTTCATTATTAGAAACTGGAGAATTAGTGCAAAAGGTTAAATTCTCACTTATTCAAGTTTATTTAAAACATCCTTAAATATAAGTGCATTTTAAAAAAATCAAGAGTGTTGGTTTGTAATTTAGTCAAGCCAAGCATGAAGTGCCTAGATATCTATGATCACTTTTAGATATCTGGTATAAATGGGTACACAACTTTCCTTGGAAAATATTGGAAATAATTTGATATTGATTAGATAGTACTGGAGAAATTGTAAACGTTATCACTTTTCCCAAACCATTGAATTAAAGGTACATGTACTTGCTAAAGGTATTTATTAGTCTCTGATTCTTGGTTATCTGAGGAATACAAGACAAACAATATCAACTTAAGAAGTATTATTAGTTTTACAAACTTCCTGCATCTGTTCCTTCTGTGTGTTTTTACTATGAAAAATGTTCAAAAGAAATTAAGGTCTAGACTAGGGGATTAGTAAAGATATTGCAGTCTCCATTTTATTTTTGTGATATTCTCCCAAGGAAACCAACGGGCTTGTTTCTTAGACCTTTCCATATAGGAGACAGTGAAATTCAAATGCTTTTTTTTTTTTTTTTTTTTTTTTTTTTTTTGCAACAGAGAGAACAAGTTTGGATGTAAATATCTGGGATGTCCACTCTTCTTTCAGGCTGCTAAACAAGGTAGCAAAGTTTTTTCTGCCAACTGAGCTGCCACTTACCATCTTAACCCTACATTTTTAGGAATTCATCTCATCCAAGTTGGCTACAGGGGTTATGTTGACAACAGAACCCTGCTGCCACTATATATGAGAGCTCTCCAAGTAACTAGAACCCTACACTGCCAAATAGAACTTGCAGCTTTCACCTCAGGGGTAGGACATGTTTTTCTTCCTACCTCGAAAAAAGACATTGCATTGTACGCTGATGGATTTCAAGAACTTATGCTTAATTGGTTCATTCAACATACAGATAGCCTCAGTTATTTAAAAAAATATGAAAATAAATTCAAGTAAGTGATTTAAGCAGATAATAAATGTCACATATATGATAGATTTAGATAATTTTAACATCTAAACATTTAAGGTGGTCATACACAAAAAAAGGAAGATCATTTGTCCTTGATATTGATGTTTTTTCAAATACCAACTAGAATTCTTTTCCATTCTGGTTTGCAATAATTTTATTTTAGTTGAGAATAATGAATATAAAAATACATCAAATATTAGAGAGACTGTTAAACTTCAACATAATACACAACAGTTGGTCAAAGTATTTCAAAAACTCCCTTTTGCATATAATATGGATATAGTGAAATTATGGATATCAGGAGAAGCCTTAACATCTATAAGAAGAGAAATCCCCTGTTTTATCAAGTGGAAGAAATAAGAAAAGTGGAAAATTGCCCAACAAACAAATGATCATTAAACCTCGGGGAATAGAAAAGAAGATATGATCATTGATCACTATCCTGTGGGAAATTCCAGTCGAGGGGGCTGATAGAATCAAACAAACTACACTAAAAAATAAATGCTAAAGGGAGGCAAAGACAATAGCCGCAACGGGATTTTTTTAAGTGAGAATAATCAATGTGAGTTTCTATAAAGAATAAATTCATGGAGAAAGGGAGGACCTAAAACGTGTGTGAGACTTCATGCACCAGAAAGCCAGGTACGGTCTCCCCAGGCGAGGTAAGAAGGGAAGGGAAGAAGACAGATTGAAACATGAGAAGCCCTAAGGATTACGGTGGTAGGACAGCGTAGTTGGAGTGAAGGGCTCACTTCTGCACTCCCCACACTCCCCCACTGTTAGTATGTAGATTTAGTAGATGCAGGAGGCAGATGAGGCAGATGAGGAGGGTGCCCGGAAAATCTCTGGCTCGCCCCACAAATGCTACATCAGATGCTTTTGTGTAGATGAGGGAAACTGCCCGGGATCTTGTCTGTGCATGCCCACAGTGGACTGGGGGCTTGCCTGTGCACTGGGAGAATGGGGTGGAGCCACAGGGAAATTCATGCCTTGTGCAGTGGGGAGGAGCCTGGCCTCTTCAGCTTGTGTAGATGGCGGCTTGGTAATCAATCTGTTAAGTGGGGGCCTGTTAGCAGGACCCCTCCCGCTTTGCTGAGAGTTTTTTTTCCTTTTTTCCTTTTCACCCAATAAATTTTGCTCTAGGCACTCTTCAACATGTCCACATGCCTAATCGTCCCTGATAGTGTGACAAGAACCCCGTTTTAGGTGAAATAAGAAGCAAAGATTCTGCAACAGGTTCATTATTTTACGCGTTTGTGAAGATTAAATCCCAACTATCTGTATTAGACTGCTCAGGCTACCATAACAGAATAACATAGATTAGATGACTGTAGATGACTGGAAGAAGACAAGTTTATTTTCTCACAGTTCTGGCGACTGCAAGTCCAAGATTAAGATGCCGGTAAGGTCGGTGAGGCCTCATTTCCTGGCTTGCAGACAGCTGCCTTCTCACTGTGACCTCACATGGCCTTTCCTCTGTGTGTACACATCTCTGGTGTCTCTCCTTTTTCGTGTATAGACTCCAATTCTGTTTGATTAGGGACCTGACCTTATGACCTTATTTAACCTTAACTACCTCCTTAAAGGCTCTATCTCCAAATACGGTCACATTGCAGGTTAGAAGTTCAACATTAATTTCGCAGGGAATACACAATTCAGCCCACACAACTCTATCTGCAACTTTACCTTCAGTTTCCCAAGATTGGCCTAGGCTATCATCTCAGAAGGAGAATATCTTCACAACCTTACTTACTATTTGAACCCTCCCACCTGTTTCCCATACTCACAGTGAGGCCTAGAACAGTAAATCTGAAAAAAAGGAGCAGCTAATTTGCTCAAAAAAAATTAATTCAAGGAGATGTCTTTGGGAATGAGGCTTTCAAAAGAAAAAAGATGGTGAAAATAAAACAACTCCCTGGTAAAAACTGAAATAGTGATCACTGGAGTTAGATTTTTGAAATATATGTCAGCTAATTTTAATGTATCACTTTGGGTTAGTGTTTCTAATAAGAGAACCTACCATGAGTTAAAGCTGTAACCTGATTTTCTTTCTCCTTTTTGCTTTTGACTGTTCATTTTCTATTTTATCCCATTCCAAAAAAATAGAGTAGTGCACATCCCTTTAAAAAGCCTCAACAATGGAAGAAAAGATATATTTATTGATGTCTTTTGAAAATGTACCGCCCCTTTAATTTGAGCAGCAACCAAATATGATAATTTGTATTCTCCAACATGAGGAGGACTATCCAGAATTTATAAACTTGTATAAGTGAAATAAAGCTCTATTTTGACCTGTAAATTTTCAGTCAAGCTTTCCTTCAATAGTCCTAAAAAGCCATAAAATGACTTTTGAAAAAAAATTATAGATAATGAATTTTAGGCTTAACCGAAGAAATCTATAATAGAAAAATAGTTCTCCAAAACTCTGAGTATAACAGGAAGTATAATACAATCCTAGATACTAAAATCAATTTTCACATGCACAACTGGAAAGGTTGTATCCGTTTCAAATATGATGTGAAAGAAAGGAATCTGTCATACAATTGTCTTATTCTTTAAAAGACATGAACTTTTTTAAGATTCAAAATATGCTGAAATTAATCGAGACTATTCTTTGGATTTGAAACTAACTCCTAATCATACAATAGGGGCACTTATTTCTTTGTCATCTGGAATTGATGAGGCTGTTAGATGCTAATTTCAGGGTGTCACTAGCAACCATTTTGGGAGTAAAGATTGATTTGAATAACAGTGGGTTTTCCTTGCGGTAAAGTAGAAATACAATTAGAGGAGGAAGCTCATAATTTATCTCAGCTTTATGTAAAAATATTATCAAAAAGGATAAGAGCAACTAACAAATGCTAAAATGTGCCAAGAATTTTAAATCTTCTGTCTGGTTTAAACAAGAATCTGTATCAAATTTTCTTTATGTTAGTTAGTCTTAAAAATATTGGTAAAAATACTGGTATAGATAGATTTAGATTTAGATATTACATCTAGAATTAGGTTAAACAAGATCTGGTAACGTATGTTACTGTGTTACTTGAGCTTGCAAGTGGTTGGAATTTATATCATTGAAAAGATGTCATGATTTTCCAGAAGCCTCAATAATAGCTATTTTTCAGAATGAAAACTCATTTTTATGAACTTAGAAAAATTGCATGAAAGTATTTCATTGGCTTGTAATATGATTCTAGAAGTTGATATTAGGACATCTGGATAGATTATGAAATGTCTGTTTAGTAGGCTCCAATTCAGGGCATAATATTTAGCAACAGAATCTGTAATTTATGCTTTATACTGCAAACTTCTGTGGTTTAATTAAATTTGAGTATTTAAGTGTTATAATAATTATTTATCTAGAATTTCTTTCTAAATCACAATCTGATGTAGGATATTTTCTTGACCTGTTAACAGGACCTGCAACAGTGGTGCCTCATTTACTCGGCCCACCCTGCTCAATCCCTCGCGGGAGGGAGCATGTGAGCAAACAAGTGTGGGAACTGGAGCGAGCAGGTACGGGAGCCAGCTGGTGGCCCAACAGGAGCAAACTCCATTCACTTGGTCCACTGGGGTCCACCCCTCACAGTGGGGAGCACACAAGCGAAGGAGTATAGAAACCAGTTGCCCACTTCATCACTGGTGGGAGCAAACTTCAGGAAGATCCGACAACCATGTTACAATGCTCTCTTAGCTCTGCCATCTGCAGACAGCAGTGACCTGTCAGCTCAATGCACCCCTTGACCCTTACCTCATTGTGTGGAGTGGCTGCCCACCGCATCGAGGGAAAAGGGCGGTGTGACAGCCTTTTTGGGTACCTGCATGTGGTGCATCCCAAATTCTTGTCCAGTGCCCAAGAGGAATGAGGTCACATGAATGAATTGAGGGATGGTGAACGTGGAGAATTTTACTGGGTGGTGAAAGTGGCTCTTAGAGGACTTGACTTCAGGGGAGAGCCCCCTCTCTGCTTTTCTCTTCTGGCCTCATCCAGCCACGGTCTCAAAGTTGCCTCTTCGCGATATCCAGCCACTTCTTCCCAGTCTCCAGCCACTTCTGTCTGCCAGCTAAGTCTGGGGCCTTAATGAGCAAAAGATGTGGGTCAGGTGGGTGGTAGGTAGTTTTGGAAAAGGCGACATTAGACTGGTAAAAAGACATTCTTCAGAAAGAACCAATTGAGGGAGAGCACGCCCACAGGAATGGGAGTTCTCACTTTGGGCTGTGACTTTCAGGCTTTTAAGCTTAAAAGTAGGGTTTCCTCAGGGACACACCCCTGTCTACAAAGAATTTCTCTGCCTGCTGTCACTATCAAATCCATATATTAACAGTTTCAAGTAGTGTTTTTGAGTAGTTTACCTATGAGCAATTTTTGCCCAATGATTCACTTTATCTTTTTAATAACAGAATTTCTATAACCCCAGAATGTGGATTCTTACCGACATTTATATAATGTGTTAGGGAAGAAAAACGTTTCTCTACTCTCATGTTCACTAATTGAGGTCTGTGATTTAACTGACAAGAGAAAGATTAACAGAGGAAAAGTCATAGAAATTTCTTTAATATTTGTGATGTTATGTGCATGGGGGCATCACAAAAACTGAGGTAAAAAACCTGTAGAAGCTGTTAGCTACATCTATCATTTTAACATAGGTTGATAAATTGTGGGAGGTGAGTAGATAAAGGTAAAGCGGTTGGGGCTTCTAAGAGAAATAAATTGTGGGGAGGTGACTGGGAAATATACTGGGAAATTGGTGTTATATAAGGGTTATTTAGTAAAATTTGTTTAAAAATATTTTTTGTTTAAAACAAATTTAAAAATGTTTTAAACAAATTTAAATTTTAGTAAAATTTGTTTTGCAGACTCAATGCTGTCTTTATCTCCAGTGATGAAGGTTATTATTTTCTTCCTGGTAGGGGAGAAAGAGGATATTGTCAAAAAAATGTATGCCCTCCTTTTAGGTAGATAGGGAAATAGCTGCGAGCTCTTCCTATGTTTCTTTTTCTCAGTTTCTTTCAGTTTGAAATAATCATGTCAAAGTAGCATATTATGGGGTGTCATATTTTGATTCCCTTCAAAAGCATTCTATTTGGTTGAATGAATCAATCAATAACAAACAAGTTTGTTTGCTTGGTAATGTAAGCATCTATAGACTTTCACATTTGTGTAACCTAAACAACGAAGTACTTTTTTACGTATGAAAGTTCTTTAATTTAGGAAATGCTAATGTTCGATTTGTTTATAGGTTTTACATCTCTATCTCATTTATTATGTTTTATTTTTAATTTAGTGTAGATATACTAAATATTGACTGTTGTAATAAAAAAATACTTATAAGATTGACTGGAGTGCAGGCATAGGTATCAGAATCCCTAACCTTAGGTAATTCACTTAAAGTATCTGAGAATCAGTTTTCTCATCTATAAAATAGAGAGAATTTTTTTATAATGCTTGTTATATTTACAACAATAACAAATGCTTTCCTTTGTATTTAGGAATCCTTTCAGTCTAATATTTGGCTTTTATGGAATAAACCAATATTTTAGTGTCTTTTTACCATTAATGAAACTCAGTACATTATATTTGGTTTAAATTGTCATATACTATCCGTTCACATCCACATGCACGTAATATAAATCGGTAGAATATATATTTTTCATATTTTCCATGAGACTAAAATATTATTTCTCTCTGATATACTAACATGGGGAAGTTTGTGTCTGTACAATCATATTTCTAAGTTAAATGTTTTGATTGTTTGTAACTTTCATACTAATTATCACCTGGACTGAGTACCACTAACATGCTGAACTTTGCTCTGAAAATATTAAAGAGTGTGTGTGTGTGTGTGTGTGTGTGTGTGTGTGTGTGTGTGTTTAATACTGGAGACAACTGGCAATGAATCATAAGAAAAGAATCCCAAGTCAAGTTAAAGTAAAACATGTAAACTACAATAGAATATTTGAACTAATGTAAGCCTTATCTTTACTCTTTTTATCCTATTTGAAGTAGGAGAGTAGGAATATATTTGTATTATGCAAATTAACAGCAAGTTTGTCTAATTTTTTTCTAGATACTCATAGAGATATAACATAGCCTGCTATGAAGCAGGTCACTCTTTTAAAATGAGCACATTCATCTTGTATTTTTCTTGCCTCTAAATGCATGACAGCTAATATATAAAAACAAAGTGCTTTTAAAGGATGGAAATTATTTTATGTTTACAAAATATGCTTGGGTAACAATGCATTTCAAATATTCAACATTTTGAATTTGTTTGGTGCTAGCACCAAGCTGAATGATTTAATGTACTTTCCATGTGAATCTTACATACATTTTCATTAATGTATATATGTTGTCATTGCTTTAAGAAGAAATTAATTCACATTGAATGGGTTCATTTTTATTTCATAAATTATACTCCATAAAATCTGGCCACTAAATATTTCATTTTTAGCTATTAAAGAATTAAAATCATTTAGTTGGTTATTCATACCTTTTATTTGCTTTCCTACATATATTATGGGTCAAACAGAAGAGCCATCTGTGATCTCAATACCCTTTCTCACACTACTATTCCTACTTTTTCTGTAAACAACAACAGCATAAATACTTTATATTTATTCTCTGCCCACTGATTTAAACTTTTAACTTTAAAAAATTAGCTCTAGCCTCTATTATACTGAGCATGGCTTGTCTTGGATTTCTGGCCTGAGGGTGCAAAGAGAGCAAAGGATTTGACACACCAAGCACAGTTTGTATTTAACTCTAGTATAAAAGTTAAAAGACAACAGTCTTAAAAACAATTTTATCCACAATAATTTGGTAATGGATTAACCATATAAGAAGTAAAGTGTGACATCAACAGCAAAAAATGTGGAAGTAATTGTGTAGAGATTTTGTATGTAATTGAAGATAAATTGTTATTACCTTAAAATAAACTTTTAAATGAGACAGGTTTTGTAAGACATGTATACCACAAAGAGAAAACCTCTGGTAGTTATAGAAAAGATGAAGAAACCAGGAGTCTAAGCATACCACTACAAAAAATCAAATCACGAAGGAACAGAAAGGAAGAAAGGAAAAAAAACTTTCCATACATTCAGAAAACAATTAACAAAATCGTGATGTCAAGTCCTTACCTATCAATAATTTCTTTAAATGTAAATGAATGAAATTCTCTAATCAAAAGACATACAGCAGATGCACAGATTTTAAACCTTCCTACTTTGCCAATATAAGCATTTAAAGCATTTAAATGCATTAGCTATGTCTCATAAATTTAATATTAAATGTTTTATTATTCAGTTTGATATTTTGGACATTTCTAATTTGATTCATGTATTATTTAGATGTGTGATGCTTAAATTTTATACAATTAGATTTTCCTGCATTTTTTTCAATTTTTGGTTTCTAGCTTAATTTGTTCTTTGTGGTCCTAGAGCCTATTGTGATTATTATCAACTTTAAATTTGTTAAGGCTTTCCTTGATATCCAAGCATCTGGTCAATTTTTGTAAATGTTCTAGGTCTAGTTGTAATAAATATGAATTTCGTTCTTGTTGGGCGAAGCATTCAACTTGTCTCAGTTGGATTGTTCATTAATTGTGTTTTCAAATTTTTATTATTATTACTGTTTTATATCTGCTCATTCTGTCATTTATTGCTAGAAGTATGTTACAATCTAACACTCTGGGAATTTATCCATGTCTCCTTTTATTGTTGTCAATAAATTTTTGTTAAGTGTTTTTAATCTACATTATCAGGTATATAAATGTTTATAGTTAGGTATATTCTTTGTGTATTGACACTTTTATTCATTATGAAAAGAGTCTTTCTTTACCTTTAGTAAAGCTTCTTGCCCTAAAAGTATTTTTTTCTGATATTAGTGTAGCTATATCAGCTTTATTTTGATTAGTAATTTATGGTAATCTCTTCCCATCCTATTACTTTCAACCTTCCATGTCTTTATCTCATATTTAAAGTAAATGACTTGTGTTCAGGATTTAGCTCTCACTGTTATTTTAATCTGATAGTCTTAGTCTTTCCTCTGACATATGTTATTTGCAATTAATTCAATTTAATTACTTTGATGTAGTTTTATTTTCATCTGTGATCTTGCTATGTGCGGTGTATTAGGCCTCCCTTTTTATGTTCATTTTTTGCTTCTTGACTTCTTTTAGCAAAATTAAGCATTTATCTATTACTTTATTATTTTCCTTTTAACTTAGTTATATTTCCTTCCTATGCTTTTAGTGGTTCCTTAGAGGTTACAACATGCATCATTGACTTACTACAGTTTAATTTTCAAAAACTTTTTGTCCCAGCTACTAGAGAGGCTGAGGTGGGTGGATTGCTGGAGTTCAGGAGGCAGACACTGTTGTGAACTGAGATCACCCAACTGCATCCTATCCTGGGTGACAGAGCGAGACCCTGTCCCAAACAACAACAACAGCAAAAACCTCTTATTACTAACCCATGTTGCTTGAAACTTAGAAACTTTAAACTTTGTTAATCCTTTTTCTAACTTTGCATTATTATTTTCATGCATTTTGCTTCTACAAATCATTTACGTCTTATAACACATACAATTGCTTTGTACAGTTAAGATCCTTCAATGTTCATTTACTTATATACTACTATGTTTATTTACTTATATATACTAGTGTTCTTGTTCTTTTTGTTTGTTTCCAGGTTTCCATCTAGGATTACTTTTTTTCTATCTAAAGAAGACTTTTTGGGTTCTCTTTTAATATAAGCCAGCTGGAAATGAATTTTTTTGTTATTGCCTTGTTTAGAACCAATCAATTTTGTTTCATCTTCAGGTTTTAAGAGTATTTCAACTTGGTATAGAACATTAGTTGACAATGACTTTCTTTCATCGTCTTGAGAATGATATCTCATTGTTTTGTGGCTTCCATAATTTTATTCAGAAATCAGCTGCCAGTCTTATTGTTGTTCCTTTGATGGCAATGTATCTTTTTTTTTCTGGCTGCTTTTACAATTTCCTTTTCCTCCTCTTGGCTATCAGCAAAATCTCTGTGTGGGGTCTGTGTGTGTGCATGCTTTTCATATCTGGGTCTTGTCGTGGTTATGGGCCTACATATCCATGTCCTTTCATTAGTGTTAGAAAATTCCTATTCAATATGTCTTTTAATATTTACTTCTGCCCCATTACCTCCTCTCCTTCAGTAAACTTAATTTTAGGAATGTTAGATATTTTGAGTTTTTTTCTATAGGTCTCTTACACAGTGTTCTGTTTCTTAATTCTTCCCCAATCTTGTGTACTTTAGTTTGTGTATTTTCTGTTTATTTTTCCTGAGATTACCACTTCTTTTTTTCATTCTGTCTAGTCTGAGACAGACCTCATCCAACAAATTCTTTATATCACATATTGTATTTCTCAGTTCTAGAATGTCCATTGAATTCCTTTTTCAGATCAGAGTTTTCTGTTGAAATTCTTTGTCCTTCATTCTGTTTTAACAATATTGCATTCTGTTTTCTGTTGTTTTAAATATATCACCAAGATTTGATTGAGAGTCTGATGAAAAGCATTTTCCTTTCTTTGAAAATTGTGGCAGATATAGCTCTTCCTTTAAGGTGTTCCAGGCTTTCTTATCATCTCCTCATTTTATAGAAATCCCCTAACTCTCATATGCTTGGAGAGGAAGCAGTCATTATAGTTGATGTAGGCCCCTTTCTCTCTTTCTGGTCAGGTATTTTTTTTTTTTTTTTTTTTTTTGTGCTAAGCACCACAAGACAACAGAATATTTTTTTTCTGCATTTAGAAGTTTCAGCCTAGCTAGTTTCCTATAGAGGACACAGGCCATAGAGTTGAGTTTCCTCAAGTTTTCACTTTGTGCCATCAGTCCTGTTTTACTACTAAAAGCTTCTCTAATTTCTCTTTATGTGAGGTTTCTTCTGAATAGCCAAATTAAGCCTGTACCCAAACTTGGCATATGTCCTCAAGAGGACAACAGATACAGAAAAATTTTATCTCACTAAAGAAACATTCCCTCCCTGGAATTTTCATTTGTATAATGTTCATTGCTTTCCCAAACCTCTAATGCAAATCAAAATATGTCATTTATCCATCCAGCTTTTTGAAGAAGTGTCATTATTCTTCAATTTCCTAATATTTTGTACTAGAACTGCATTAAGTTATTTAAATATATATGCTTAATGTTGTGACGAAAATTAGAGTGAAATGTGTTGCTGTGTTCAAATTAAATATTGCATTTTCATTGGTTAAACTTAATAAATGTAATGTAGGACAGATATTCTTGCATGGATATTTCTATAGTTGTTTCATAATTTAACAACAATCCAAGAAGTTTGGGTCTCACATGTACAGAGAAAAAACTTTGCAGTCTGTGATAGGCAGCCTCTAAGATGGCACCTAATGATTGTCACACCTTGATATTCGCACTCCATTATCCTTTCCTTTTGAATGTGGACTGGATTTAGTGACTTGCTTTTAGTGAATGTAATGTGTCAGACAAGACGGAGTATTACTTTCAAGAATAAGTTACAAAAGGAGTCACGCATTTATCCTATGCATCTCCTGTTGCTTTCTTGCTTGCTGGCTGGCAAAGCAAGCTGTCATGTTGTGAGAAGCCCTGTGGATAATCCCTTGTGGCAAGGAGGTAATGCCTATGGCCAACAGCCAGTAAGGACTGGGCCTTGCCAACAACCACATAAGTGAGCTTGAAAGTGAATTGTCCCCATTCAAGCCTTGAGATGACTGCAGCCCGGGCCAGCAACTTGATTGCAGCGTTTTGAGAGACCCTACACCAGACACACCTGGCTAATTTCTACTTAGACTTTTTACTCCACAAAAACTAAGAGATAATAAATCTGTTACTTTAAACTGCTGAGTATTGTTTACTTTGCCGTACGTAAGCAGTATAGACAGACTTTTACATAAATCCTGATTCCAATGCTTATCCATTGTGCATTATGATTAAGTTATAGCACAATCTCAGTTTCCTCATCTCTATAAAAAGTGAAAGGAGGCAGAGGCCAGCAGATCACTTGAGGTCAGGGGTGCAAGACCAGCCTGGCCAACATGGTGAAACCCCGTCTCTACTAAAAATACAAAAATTAGCCAGGCGTGGTGGCTCATGCCTGTAATCCCAGCTACTTGGGAGGCTGAGGCAGGGGAATTGCTTGAATCCAGGAGGCGGAGGTTGCAGTGAGCTGAGATCATGCCACTGTACTTCAGCCTGGCCGACAGAGTGAGACTCCATCTCAATTAAAAAAAAAAAAAAAAGTGATGATGTCTACCCTAATAGCAAAGTAAGACCCAAAGAAGGGAAAATCTCTTAGAAAAGAAAGCTAATTTATATTCAAGATATTTTGCAAAGGAGTTTCAACTTTAGAATGCTTGCTTGCCAATTAAAAAAAATCTGACATGTACTTAAAGGGAAAAAAATTACAAAATTGCCAAGGTTACAATTAGCCTATAGTGGAAAACAGTATTTTATTTTATTTTTTTTATGCATTGCAAAATCATCAGGTATCTTCCGAAACCAGAAAAGCAAAAGTCAGTCAGGGATCAGGTTTTTTGTTTTTTGTTTGTTTGTTTGTTTGTTTTTTAACCAGTGACTCAGTCGGGTGCAGGAGAGTACTCAGCTCAAACAGTTGTCATTTATTTCAGTGATGCAAAGTAAAGATACTGACCTTTTGTTTTTCTCATTGTTCATCTCAGGATACAACATAAGCATGCATGTGTGTGTGCATGTGAGTGTTTCTTTTTCTGTTTGATTTGTAGTGTGTGATTTGCTCTCTGTACAGGAAGGCATGTTGCTTTTTTTCCACATCTGTGGGTTTAAATGAGATAAAGTATCTAAGCAAGTTTTCCTTCCTTCTGCAATATGAGAATCTTTTTCTGTAAAAAGAAACTTTTCTGTAAATTTTATGAATTTATTCTGTAAAACACATCTGTAAAATTGTCAAATGTCCTGTATTCAGTATTGAAAAACAACCTTTCTTACCCCTAATTTAAGAATGTTGGGCCGGGCACAGTGGCTCAAGTCTGTAATACCAGCACTTTGAGAGGCTGAGGCAGGTGGATCAACTGAGGTCAGAAGTTTGACACCAGCCTGGCCAACACGGGGAAACCCTGTCTCTACTAAAAATACAAAAATTAACCGGGCATGGTGGGGGACGGGGGGCGTGTAATCCCAGCTACTCAGGAGGCTGAAGCATGAGAATCGCTTGAACCCTGGAGGCAGAGGTTGCAGTGAGCCGAGATCACACCACTCCGCTCCAGTGCGGGGGATAGAGTGAGACTCTGTCTCCAAATAAATAAATACATAAATAAGGATGTCTTCACCCTTTTCAAACATCCTTCTAATCTCTCAAATTTATTTTATTACAACCACTACTTTCATTAACTTCTCTGTAGCCCTAGTCTTCATTGCACTCTGTCTATCATTCCTCAAAATTGTTTATGCTAACCTTGAAAATACCGCTTCCCTCTATTTTCTATAATTGTAATTTAAATTTTCCTGTTAGTTTTCAACATTATTCCTTATTGCTTGATCTTTAATAATTTTAAAGACATTTTCTTTTGTCTTCAATGTATCTATATGTTTGGCAAATTAAAGATGGAAAGGCTCTATTTGTCATTCTGCTGAAAGAGACAGTAAACCTTGGTGAGAAATTGAATGCCTTAAAGGTGGATGCTGACGGGAGAATGAGAGTATATTACAAAGAATCTTAGACATTTAGAGGAAATGCTGGAGTCAATGATATATATTGAGCTACATTGAAAGGGCTGGATTACTCATGCCTAGAAAATCCATAAAAACAAATTCAGGAAAGAGGACCAAGGAAAACCGAAGAATGTGCTGTTTAAAATTGTAGGCTCCATTCAGAGGAGCATGGCGAGAGATTCTCTATTTCTAGAGCACAGATGGGCTAGTCAGGGAAATTCTGAACACAGAAACTAAGGAATCAAGTGTGTATTGGAGTTTAGGCAACTCCAGAGAATTCTGCCTAAAGCTAAATAGTTAGGGTTGAAACCCTGAGAGGGAAAATCCCTCGAAGGGACTCAGTGAATAATAAATAGATAGTTCCCCTGAAGGTGGAAGTAAGTAATAACTGGCAGAAAAGGACCTGCAGGCTTGATGCATGCTCAGGGAGAAAACTGTAAATGGAAGAGAATGAAACTGATTGGTCCTAGAATAAACAGGATACACGTTTGAAAATGTGCCAGTGTGTAATATTTTACCCATGGTGTAGCTTCCTTAAATGCAGTTTTCTAGCATCAACATTTCAAACTTAGTTCTGTACACCTACTTGCTGCATCCTACTGAGGTTCAAGAATATCCACTACCCCATACCCTAGTGGCTGCTTCAATGTGCGTGACACTGGGAAATATGGATATTTACAAGGATGCCTCTTCTGTTGCTGAATAATTCAAATTATTTTAAAAAATTCTTCATTCTTTCCAGCCCCTGTTTGCTTTTTGATGATGATTATTAATACCTGTTAGCCTTAGTTCTACCTTATAAGCCAACACAGAATTTTTATGATGGCCTTCCAAATGTGTGGGTCTATCCTATACAGCTATTCCCTTTATCAGTGAAAATATCTCAGGTTTCATTAACTATTTATGTGACATGGTTTTGGGGATCCTCATCATTTTAATTGCCTTTCTCCTGGAAGTCTTCAGCTGTCAGTTTTAAAAAAAATATTTCAGATGGATTTTTAAGGTATTTCACCTTGCATATGAAAGATATTTTATCATCTGATTGAATGGACAAGAAATGGGTATGGGAAAAGGAAACAAGGGCACGAATCTGGACTGAGCTAAGTAAAATATGAATATTCGACTTAGATTTGTGACTAAGAAACCATACTTCTGTTTATTGCAACTAAGGCTACATTTAACTTTTGTTGATGCTTATTTATTTTTGTATTCATCTTAAAGCAGTTTTTGTGTTACCGTTGGCTCAGTCTGTGTGTTCAAATGCATTTAGATCTTTCCACAAGAGCCACTACAATCTGAGGCCTCCAAATTGATTTTTTACCTAAATTTAAACTTTAGTAATTACCCCGTTTCAATTCCACTTTGTTAGTTTTAGTCTAGCATGCTAGGGAAATAATTTTGAATCTTGATTATTTATGTGATTTTTAGATTTGTAAAACAAATTTGCCGTGTGTTCTAAGTCATCAGTTTTAAAATGTTGCCGGCCATAATCGTATGTTATGTCATTAGAAGTATTTGTATAAGAAGACATCAATCCACTAATCATAATTTGACTTTAATTGTTTAGTGAGTTGTGAATTTTACATAATTGCACCATCGCCTAATATAGAGCTTCACATTTTATCTACGTGATTATAATTAGATGCTCTGTCAAAGTCTCAGCTGAAATCAAGATTATCTATGGCATTCGCTTGATAAACCAACCAATCAATCAATTGTATCCTTACAATAATTGATGTTATTTGTGGAGCTCTTATTGGATCCTTGTGGATACCATTTTTATTTCACATATACCAACTATTTGTTTTTCAGCTGTTTTTCCACTGTTCTATAGTTTCTTAAATATTTTTTCAAATTTTTGTGTGTGTAAACAAGGAAAAGATATAATAATATATACAGAAATTTTATTTACCCATTTACAATCTTTTGCTTCCTCTGATAACCATTATTCTGTAAATATTTCTAGTTGAGACTGTGAGATCACAACATTTGCCTTTTATACATTTAGGGGGTTAGTTCATGGAAGCCTAAGATCTCGAGTACATTTGAAAATATCAGCCCCAGGGTTTGCATCTCTGAACCTATTTTGGCCATTTACTACCTCTCTTTATTGCAAGAGCTATTCCTATTGCTAGGACAAAAGAGAGAGAGAGAGAGAAACAGACATGAAATAGATTGTTCTTTACACAAACTATCTTGAACAATTCTGTTTTCTGCCTATGGATATGAAGGATCTTGCTAGAGAAGAAGAAAGAGGAAAATATATAATTCGTAGGCTTTTAGGTTTTAGGGAGAATCGTTTGCTCGAGGTAGCTAAAGAAATAAGATTCAGCAGGAGTACCCTTTGTTTTGAGCTTCAGACATTTCTTCCTGCTTTTCTCTAAGCAATGTCTCTTCTCTACTTCAAAAGTTTAATTATAGCTAAACCAGTGGCATTTTCCTAAAATACAATCTTCTGGAAATCATAACTTCAGCAATCTTTCTAGAATTCATGAATATAAACATATAGTGAATTTTGTGTTTATCAGGTAAACAGCTTTTTCTTTCACTCGCTTTAACATCTTACTCAATGATACAAAGATTATTTATGCACCAATAAATAAAATTTCATTAAAGAATTGCAAAAGGAAGGAGAATATTGAACCCAGAAATCTTGCTAAATCCAAAACATCAAATTGTAGTTATCTTCAATGGGAAGAGGAAAAGGGAATCTATGTTTAGACTTTTGTTTTCCCCTGGATAATATATTAGAACCTCACTATTGGTTAACATACCTTAGGGAAGAGCCAAGTGTGAAGCAGTTCGAAATACAATAGTACAGTTTCCATTTATTATTTTCCTGCTGTGATTAGATAATTAGTAAGGTACTTTGTGTTTAGGTGAATTTTCACTAGAAAAGCAGTAGAATTAAATTGAATTGGCAAAAGTGCCATTTATTTCTTCTCTTCTTTAATGTGTTGATTTCTTCATGCCAGTTTCCAACGATGAGCTCAGCGTGTGTTCTCACATAATTTAACCTTTATTCCTTATAATTAAATCTAAACATACATTGAAATCAAAGCTGCTTAGCTATTTAAGTATATATCTAACAATTACAAATGAGCATGATCTATTTTAATAAAACTAAAAAGGATACCCATTTCCGTTCATGAATACAGTGTGTACTAATAAGTGAGCAACCCCTTCAGAAGAAATGGGCTCAAATTTGCCCTTCATGCAGGGTAACGTTTGGCTTCTGTGGCACAAACATGCTATTTCATTGAAATTAATTATGCCAATCGAAAGGTATTTAGTAAATACTCCTTATTTATTATTATTCTACGCAAAATGGAAGATGGAAAATAAGTTGTTTCTTTATTTGAATTCCTGTGAAACAACTGTAGTTGAGTTGGGGAGATATCCATAAGAAGCAAAATAAAGAATGAGAGAAAGAAAAGATGGGTAAATTTGATGTATAGAATGTATACGTTAGTGGTATTAAGGGAAAGGATTAGCAAGGAGCAGGACTGGGACAGAAGAGGTGCTTAGTAAATTTACAAGAATGATTCAATGGATGAACAAGTTGTAGAAAGAAGTATCAGTGACACTTAAAGTCACCAGAAGGTAACTATAGAATAAGAAGCGCTGCAAATGGAATACTAGTGTGTTTGATAAGTGAAGATATGGATGGGATTTTGAGAGGAGAAACTAGCATACCAGATTCGGAGGAGAATCAAGAACAACATTCAGGAACAGGAGGAAGCACAGAGAAGAAGACAGAATCAACCTGATATGGTTTGGCTGTGTCCCCACCCAAATTTCATCTTGAATTGTAGCTCCTGTATTTCCTACATATGGAGGAACCTGGTGCGAGATAACTGAATCATGGGTGCGGTTTCCCCCACACTGTTCTTATGGAAGTGAGTAAATCCCATAAAACCTGATGGTTTTATAAGGGTTTTTTTTTTTCTCTTGGTTCTCACTCTCTCTTGCCTGCCACCATGTAAGACATGCCTTTTGCCTTCCACCATGATTGTGAGGCCTCCCTGCCATGTGGAACTGTGAGTCAATTAAACCTCTTTCTTTTTTAATTACTCAGTCTCGCATGTGTCTTTATGAGCAGCATGAGAACAGACACAGCCCAGAGTTTTGACCTGGGACACAAAGGTAAAATTGGTTACATTACTTACAGTTTTATGCTATGGTCAAATTGCATTATTTTTCAAATGATCTGCATTTCAATAACGTTATTTTCAGTTAGATTTTGTGTTTGAACATAGTATGGTCTAGGTAAAGTGAAGGAACACACTGTTTTGTTTGATTTAGTGTTTCTCCACTTTTTAAAATTACCCCCGCTTTGACACACTAACAAAGCAAAAGTATGTGAAGACACCAGACTGTGAGTGGAGTGCATTCCAAAGGGACAGGACAAACATGTATTTTTGATATTTTTATTGTTACAAGAAACTGAAAATCATAGTAATGTAATTTATACATATTTTGAAATTTATACATCCACATTTCCTGGTATTCTGATATTCCAAATAGCACAAGTATCACAACCAGAAAATATTTATACAATTTCAAACTATTTATATTAAAATCCTCTATTACAACACTAGAGTAGAATCTCAACATTATTTACTTTCATAAATCCCCAGACCACCCAATTGTTCAAAACATCTAAATTACCCTTAAAATATAGTAACAGAAATTCTAAAATGTAAGTGAACCATTTATTGTCTTAAAAGGTTCTAAGTATTCATCTTGAAAATAGAATATTTTACACCAAAATAAATTGTATTATACATTTTAGTACATTCTTACTATTGTGACATGAACCATAAACTTAGGTTTTCAGCATTTTTTTTTCATACTGCTTCAAGAGAGACATGGAATAAATAATGATTATGTGAAAATGATAGAGGTACTGTTGATTCATTCATTGGCCCAATTTGTACTGGCCACCCACTCAAGTAGGAGGCACTAGGATTTGGTCCAAGCTCATCCATCATACCACACACCTTTGAAGTTGCTTGTGACACTCATGTTAAATCTACTAATGGAAAGAATAAATATATTCACAATTAAAAATGGTTGTGTTCTTCCAAAGAGGCAGATAATTTAAAATAATCAGTTCAAAATTAATTTTATAAGAAACAAATGAATACAGGGTTTATAGTCTAGGAGGTTAAAATAGCATCTGTCTCATTCTTCTTTTTATGTTGAATTAGTACAAATAGTAGGCAGATGGCTGGTGGAAATAAAGACTGATACTTTACCAACAAAGTCTAGCTGGGCCATGGAAGACAACAGACAACCATTTGCCTGAGTAATCTTCATATTTTCCTTGTTTGTCGTTGGACACAATAGGTAGCCCAGTATTTTATTTGAAGAGATGTATTATGGAGGCAGAATGCCTATGCACAAATCTCAGTCTCTCTGGTGAGAACTTTGCCTAATTTTTCTGTACCTCACTTTACTCAGTTGTAAAATGAGGATAATGATATAACCTCCACTCCTTCTTTAAGGATTGTTTTTAGGATTAAATGAAGTGATCTCTGTAAAGCACTTTGAAAAACACTAGATGCTAAATAAACATTAGCCATTTTTCTGACTGCTTTCAGTGAAGTGAAGTGCAGATGCTGGGCCAAGCTCACTAATCATGTAACTACACCTCTCCACTCTGACTCCAGTGAAAAGGGGCTTTTCATTTCTCTTTGCCGTCAACTTCTGTTATCCAGACATCAATGTATCTAAATTGTTTCAAGATTAAAAAGGAAAAAAAGAATAAACAGAAAAGCTACTGGAGACATGGTCGTTCTAAAATATCTCCACTGGCAATTGTGACATAAATGCCAGTGGAGGAGATGATTTTGTAACATCTACTGAGCTGAGTTGACAACCTACATCCTTTCTCCCTGTACCTTAGCGGAACACCCTTAGTGGAATGCCTGCCACAGTAGCAAACTGCTTTGTCTCTAAGTCTAAGCATCAATTAATGAACCAATACCTTAAGTAGAGAGGTAGAAGAGGCAAAGTAAAGATATCTGCTGCCATGAGGTACTAGGAGTGAGCAATGATTGTTCACTGACACAACTGGTCCATGGTGCCTTGGATGTTTTCAGGCAAATGTTGGGTTTTACATATTCATATGGATCCTTTCTTTATTCTCATAGCTTGCTACTCATTATTTCACGTTGGAAGATTTGTGTCACCAGGAAGACTTGGTGGGACCAGAGTGCAAGGTGATGGAGGATGGTGTGCAGATAATGGAGTGAGATGATTTTATAGAAGTAGTCAAGTACCCAGACAAATAGAGTAGACTAGGAATAGATTTCTCTATTTCTCTTAAGCTATGGAGAAATTTAAACAGGAAATCCATATAATATAATTCAAAATGAGAAGGAAGGAAGAGGTTAAATTATAATCTTTACAAAAAAGCCTGAGATTGTGAGGAAAATGGAGGGGTTCAATATAATAAAGGATTTCTTATCTTCTGTCTTGGCGAAGAGAGACAGGATGTCCTTGCTAGTTGGGCTGAGTGATCATGAGAATCAAATTAAGGAATGATTATAAGGGGTGGTTTGATCTCAACTTTATCAAAGATGAGGTTGTCAAGTGTGAGAGATAAAAGTTCCTCAGGCACACTGAGCACACTAGTTCAGAAGCATTTCATAGATATTAGCATTTTTATTTATAAACACTTTGAGGGCAAGGTTGGTGTTAGTATGAGATAAAAATAGGACATTTATTCGGTGGTAGAAAGAAATTTAGCATAAACTAATATTGCAGCAAAGGGAAGTGAGTTTCAGGATGGCCAGCTTACTTTATGTGCTGGGAACTTGCAGGATGTTCTTATTAAACTACTTCCTATTGCATCAGGACTGCAAAGTTCAACATGCATTTATAGTTAAGTTCAACGCTGTCACTATGTGTTAGGAAATTTGCAAACCAAGGTATGTACTTGCAAGAGAAATCTAGTTCTTGCACTTTGCTGTCTCATTAAGGTAATATGATGCAAGGGGCCAACCCACAATTAAAACTGTATTTTTTATTAGACTGAGCTGCGGACTGTGACTTTTGGTATTCTATCATGTGTCACAGGAGGCACTGCATCATAAAGGTCATTCCAATAACACTGTGAACTAAACAAATGAGTCGACTCTTTACTAAGGTTAGTGCTGTTTAAAGCTGGAAGGCTTTATTTGTCTTAGAGGAATAGAAGAGAGTAAAATAACATCATCATGAAATGTTAGAGCTAGTAGGTACCTGGGGCAATCAAGTCCAATCCTCTTGTATCACAGATTTTTAAAAATGGAGGCTCAAAGAGAATAATGACCAATTTAAGATAGTAAAGATACTTAGCAGCAGTATTGGTTTTGTAACCCATGCTTTCCAGCTGTCCATTCTGAGCTCTTGCCAAGATGCCAAGGTACTTCTGATGTGAAAAGTGAAAGTTTAAGACATGCAGAATTGATATCACCTATTCCAGTTTGTGTGAGTTAAAAAACTAAATTAGTAGGTCGTGTGGGGAATAATTTCATGACAATGGTGCCAACAGCACATTCAAAAGGAATTTGATGGTCGGCTAGATGCAGGTCCATATGCTTTGAGTATCTGAAGATATTTTGGTCCTTGAATCCACAGAAAATGCTTAAATGATATAGTTGTTGACTTCATTTGTTTACTGCATGATAAGGAAAGGGATTGCTTTACACAACACCTGTAAGATGCCATTCGGAAATCCTACACAGAAAAAATGATGCATATGGTGAAGGAGTTACAAATCATGTGCTACAACCCTTCGAAGGAGGAAGAGATTATGTCCACTTGGAGGTGTGGGGAAGGCTTGTAGAAAAAGTGTTGTTTATTCTTGTCATAAAAGATGCAAAGGTTTGCAAGATGGCAGATGAGGTTGACAGGAAATTTTGGGAAGAAGGAGTAACATGATTTAACACTTGGAAGAGGAAACTCAGTGGTTGGAAATAGTAAAGAATCAGGTTTGGCTATGATTAGGAAGATTTGGAATTAATTCTACTACACCTTAGTGTCTGTGCCACCTTAAGATAAAGAACTTGTCTCTTCCTCAATAGCAACAGCTTACATTTGCTAGCACTCCCTGTGTGCACTGCTACACGCATGATCTCATTCTACTCTTACAACAACCCTTTGCAATATATACTGCTGCTATGTCCATTTATAGACAATTAAACTAAAGTTACACTTGATCAAGGTGACACAGGTAGAATGCGGTAGGGCTAGGTTTCCAACCCAGCTCAATATCACTGCAAAACCCATACCTTCATCCCTTTTAATATTCATCTTCTCCCTGTAATGTAAGTAGTTGTCTTGCAGCTATGTGTATGAGGTTGGGAGACAAAGTTAACACACAACAACCCAGAAACCAAGAGATAGCATTCTAGATGTTTTAAAAAAAGGAACATAAGGGGAAATCTCAGGGCGCAGAATCAGACTACCCAGGTTTGTAGTTCAGCTTTGCTTCACTGCTTTGATTTTTGAGGACAGTCTTACACAGCCTCTTAAGGGCATTGGAAAGTCCAGGTCTTTGGGCACAGTGTGGTTTACCTCCTTCTGTCTCTTGGGCTTATGCATCAGTCCTGTCTGTCCACCTGAGCAATAACTGACCTGTTGGAGTCAGAGGCTCTTCAGTCAAATATCTTACTACCCTGCTGCTGACTGAGCCTCAACTTTTCCCAAGGGTGTCCAGAGCTCAGGAAGGACAAATATCTATATGGTTGGACAGTAGCCTCAGTGGTGGGGCTGCTCTGCCACCTCACTTTTTCAGAGCCAGCCTTTTCATTCACATCTGTGTCCCCTGCATGGCACATGGGGACGAAGGACAGGGCCTCAGGAAAGCCTCCCTTTGTCTGACCATGTTGTGGCCTACCTTTCTGTTGACATTGACATGGGAGGAGCAAGTCTGAGAGGTCCAAAGTAAGGCTGTGGAGTCAGCAGGAGGGTCATCCAGAGGCTTCTGTTTCTAGGATTTTTCCAACTACCTTGTTTCACCCTGTGTTGTGTCTGATGACTTGGCTGGCTGTCTGGCTGTCTCTGTCGCACCCTATTTTCCCACTTTTCTTTTCCTACAATCCTTCGGGCCAGAAAAGGATAGGCTTTTCTACACTTTAATATCTTTTAACAATCACAGGGTAGACCCAGAGGTTAGGTGCTTTGGCTTTGGCCCTTGATATACTAAACAGGGATGGGGAGCACACGTACCATCTCCTTTGTATCAGAAGCTGAATATTACTCCATTCTTTCTCTTTACTATCCTTCTAGGACATTTTCTAAGTTTAGACGAATGCATACCATGATCAACTAGAGCTTTGTGTCTGAACTTTAAAATGTATTTTCACATTTCCAAAGTAGGTAACTTGTTATCATTATTAATGTCATTATATTATCTGATACATGAAGTCACCCTCCCTACCAGCACCACCTGCCTTTAACGTCATATAGTAAGAATTAGTGGTACATTCATGTATGTATCCATTTGGCAAATATTAAACAAATATCTGCTAAGGGCCAAGTTCTTGGCTTCAGTGTGGTATGCAGTGATAAAAATGACAAAGTCCCTGTCCTTAGGGAATTTACCTTCTGGAAGGGGAAGATAAGCATAATAATACTAACTAACTCTAGTAGTGTTAATAATAAACAATGGGCTGGGTATGGTGGTTTATGCCTGTAATCCCAACACTTTGGGAGGCTGAGGGGGGGCGGATCACCTGAGGTCAGGATTTCGCGACCAGCCTGGCCAATATGGCAAAACCCCATTTCTATTAAAAATGCAAAAAAAAAAAAAATAGCCATGCATGATGGCACATGCCTGTAATCCCAATTACTCAGGAAGCTGAGGCAGGAGAATCACTTGAGCCTGGAAGGCAGAGGTTGCAGCAAGCCGAGATTAAGCCACTGCACTCCAGCCTCAGTGACAGAGCAAGACTCCATCTCAAATAGTAATAATAAGTAATAAAGAAGGAGGCTTAAGATCATGAAAAATGCTGTGAGGGTCATATAGAGCCTCATTAGGGATGAGGCTACTGAATTTTCTATGTATATCTTCTGCATCTTCAATGGCTATGAAGCATAACATTTGCACAAAGTTAGCTGGTTTCAAATTCACGGCTAATACCTTTGACAGTGGTAAACTCCATACGACACACCTTTCACTATATTATATTTACTTACCATGTACATATATTTGTGTGTGTCTGTGTGTGTCTTAATTAGTGATGAATATAAATAGATGTGTAGATAAATAAATTGATAAATTAGTCCAGACTAAATATCCATATGCTCATGTACATATAGGTATATTAGTAAGTTACACTATGGTTATTTTATTTTTCTCCCAATAAAATGGAGAACTTTCTGAACATTAAGGTTTAGGTCTTCTTGTCTTCTCTTTGTTATTTTTCTCTCTGTTGATCCACAGTAACCCCACTTTTTTTTCAGTGTTCTGATACAGCAGGTCCTCAATAACATCGTTTCATTCAACATGCTTTTGTCATAACTTTTATGAGAAAAACAATTGCTTCTATCCAGGCCCCTGTCTGTGTGCGGTCTGCATGCTCTCCCCATATCTGCATGGGTTTTCTCCAGGGACTCCAAGTTCCTCTCATGCACCAAAGCTGAGCCCATTAGATGAATGCGTGTCTCCATGGCCCCGGTGTGAGTGAGCGTGAGTGTGAACGAGGGTGAATGTGAGTGTGGGTGAGTGTGGGTGTATGTGAGTGAGTATGGGTGAGTGTGGATGGGTGTGGGTGAATGTGAGTGAGAGTGAGTGTGAACGAGGGTGAATGTGAGTGACTGTGGGTGAGTGTGAGTGTGGGTGAGTGTGTGAACGAGGGTGAATGTGAGTGTGGGTGAATGTGAGTGAGTGTGGGTGAGTGTGGGTGAATGTGAGTGTGGGTGAGTGTGGGTGAATGTGAGTGAGTGTGGGTGAGTGTGGGTGAATGTGAGTGAGTGTGGGTGAGTGGATGTGTGTAAGTTACCCTATGATAAGAGGACCTCTTGGCCAACGGGGGTCCTGCCTGTTGTCCTGAGCTGCTGTGCTGGGCTCCAGCCACCAACAACACTGAGCTGGAATAAGCAGATAAATACTTAAATGACTTGTTTTAATTAATCCTTCTTAAATGTATGTATAGCTCATATGTATTTCATGTTTAATATTGTATATGCTTTGATCTTTTTTAGAACTTTGGTGATGTTTTGTGATCAGAAGTATACCGTAGGAAATTATGCTCTTGTTTATATCAATTTGCCTGTGGGAAAAGTGGTCCCATATATCATTACATGTCATATAATTGGTCATTGTACGCCATTTTACTTAAAATCACAGTTTCCAAGAACCTATCCATGATGTTAAGTGAGGACTTGTGGAGTGTCGTAGAAGCAGAGATCATCACATTCCCACTACTGGGTATATATTCAAAAGACAGCAATCATTATGCTGAAGAGAGACCGTCACCGTCATGCTCACTGCGGCATTATTCACAATAGCAATGGTATGGAATCAACCTAAGTGTCCACAATGGAATATTATTCAGCCTTAAAAAAGAAGGAAAGCCTGATACTTGTGATGACATGGATGAGCCTAGAAAACATTATGTCAACTAAAATAGGTCAGACTTGGAAAGACAAATACCATGTAATCTTACTAATATGTGGAATCTAAAAGAGTGGTATTCATAGAAACAGAGAGTAAGATGATAGTTACCAGAGGCTAGGGAATGAGGGGACTGGAGAGATTTTCATCACAGGACACAAAATTTTAGTTAGAAAAAAGAAATAAATTTAAGAGATGTATTGTACATCACAGTGACTATAGTTAATAACAACATACTGTATTCTTGAAAATTTCTAAGAAAGGGGATTATAAGAGTTCTCACCAGAAAAAAATAATGTGTGATAAGTAACATGTATGTTAAATAACTTGACTTACCCATTTCTTAATGTATACATGTATAAAAACATCACATTGCACACCATAAATATATATACATTTTTGTTTGTCATTAAGAAAGATAACCCAACACATAAAAAGAAATAGAGTTCAGAATCAATGTTCTCATCTGCAACTCCTCTGAAACAATTAAACAGAGAAGTGGAAATTTTATACTGCACAAATTGAAGAATTTATTTCCTCTTTATAAAGTGGAACGTGAATGTGAATTAACAGTGTAGTTGTGAACAGTGCTCGAGGGTTATTGCCTGTAAGATAAATGAATAGACATTTTAAAGTCGGCTGGATTTGTAAAATGGAACGGTTTAATTGTGTTTCCCATAATGTTATTTTCTTATAAAGGATTTGCACATTTTCTCAGCAAGTGGAAAATCACCCAAGAAGTCTTGAAGAACACCTACAAGCAGGCCCTGGAGTAGGATCCTTACAATCCCTTTGGCTATTATATGTATTTTTTTAAAAAAGGAAGAATCAGCAGTTCATGACAGAAATGTGGATGTAATGATTTACGAAGTTATAATTCTAGGCATGTGGTGTTGTGTTATTGATTCAGGGATGTTAGTGATTACAGGCAGCAGACATCGGTAGTGTTTCTGACTGTTGTGTTTAGTGGCCACATATGATCAATGCCTTTTTGAGGTTCAAGCTTTTGATGACGTTGAAATGACTATGGAATTATTAGGAGGTATTTAAGAAAACCTTGCTTTCACTTTCTAAAAAGTTTTTATTTCTAAAAAATATAGGTTTTTAAATTTTACTATATGTAGAAAAAAATGCTAAACATACTATGTTAAACACGAGGTTCTAAAATGTTATATCAGTATTTATTGGGTCCCTAAATCAGCTGGCAATTGAACTAATATCTTTATAATTTCCGAAAAGATAGAAAATACTCATAAAGAAGTCCCTAGTAAACAATGTCATTTGGCTTGCTTAGATTAGAGTGATAATTTCAATAAGTTAATGGAAATGAAGCCAATTCAATGGGATATTTTCACCTTTTTTAATGGATGTCATGAAAGGAATAGCAAACCAGCTGCTCCATAATTTCACTATTTGCTCAGAATGTATTAACAGATCTTTTGTTTTTAGGTGAGTAGTCTGCCCAATTACAGTTTCGAGATATCACAGAATGGGATATTTATACCCATTACATAGGTCAGCTTTATTTATATATTTCTAGTTTTTAGGCAGGGTGTGGCTCTGTTGCCACAGCTGGAATGAAGTGGCACAATCACGGCTCACTGCAGCCTTGACCTCCAGGGCTCAAAGAATCCTCCCACCTCAGCCTCCTTAGGAGCTGAGACCACAGGCATGCACCACCCCACCTGGCTATTTTTTTTTTTTTACTTTTGTATAGATGGGGTTTCACTATGTTGCCCAGGCTGGTCTCAAACTCCTGGGCTCAAGAGATCCTCCTGCCTTGGCTTCCCAAAGTGTTGGGATTACAGGTGTGAGCCATCGCACCTAGCCTTGGTCAGGTTTATAATGTCCCAAGTTCAAAGACCTTATAAATGCTGGCACTAGGATTTTTCACCCAAGGGGCCTAACCCTAAAAAGGTGGAGACTTAAAAGGGGAATATATTTCTTCACTCCTAGAAAAATGATGTTTTGTTTATATCTTTGATAACAACTATGAAAATTTAGAATAAATTATGCTATTCTAAGAGGTTAAAAATGTTTTGCGGGCACTTGGGCAACGGCCCATGCTGTTTACTGTTACTGTGTCTGCCTCTATGAGAAAACTTCAACATACATAAAGTATAATATTTTAGAATTTTTTTTCTGAAAATAGTCTACTATATAATAAATAATCTTGTAGTCGTTTCTGAATATGGCGTACTATGTCATTCATGTGCACATTCGTTCAACAATATTCACTGGGTGTCTAGTTTTTGCCAAGGGCTTTGGGCTCTGGGGATGCATCAAAGAAATATGGAGTTTGTACTTTTGTTCTGTAATATTTTACCATATTTATATACAATTAATTGTCAGTTTACAGAGTATGTTATATTTTATAAAAGTAAGTCCTTTCACAAATCCAAATGACTTTTATAATCATGATGTTTTCAGACAGTAGTTAAGTTCCCCAAAACATTTTTAACCTCTCAGAACAACATAATTTATTCTAAATTTTAATAGTTATCAAAGATACAAATAAAACATTATTTTTCTAGGAGTGAAAAAATATATTCCCCTCTTATGTCTGAACTTTTTAGTGTTAAGCCCTTTGACAGGTCACTGCTCTTACTAGAAAATTAGAGGTGTACGACAAGGTTTTCTCTAAGGCCTTTTTCTACTCTATACATAGACAGTGGCTTCAGGGCCAGAAAGCTGGGCATAAATAAGAAGTGGAAAGTAGTTGAGGGAAAAGAAGAAAGGGGCTTAGAAGTGAATGTTTCCTCCCTTTTCTTAACTCATAAACTTCCATCAGGTTATCTTTCCCTCAGCTAGCATGCTGCAACTTTCTCTCCAATCCCCTTTCATTCATGTGCATCAAATGCCATTATGTGCCAGAGATCTTAGCTCTTAAAGTATTCTCAGTGCTATTTGTGATAAGGGGCAGGGAGGACAGATATGCAATCAAACAACTTCTATAGTACAGATCAAGTACTATATGGTGCTATATACAGATGGATGCATCAACTAATGCTGTTCTTGGGGTGAAGAGGAGAGATAGAGTGGATGAGGCAATCCAATAACTTTCCATAAAGGAAAGGGCATTCAAGTTGGGCTTTGAAATAATATTTAGAATTCCATCAAGATGTAATGTGAAGAGGTGCATTCCAAGCAGAGCAAACGATCAGTTGTGGATATTAGAAAGGCAACAAAAGGCATGTATGGAAATTGATGAAAACCTCATGTGAAGATAATATGTATGGTGGCCAGTAGAGATGGAGGACAACAGGAGGCTGTATTCCGTTTTATAGTCCATATCAGAAGTTTGCATTTACACATTTATTCCACAGTCAGAACACTTTGTTTTGGGAATTTTTTTTCAGAATTTTTTAAAAGCTGGCAGCAATAGAAAAAAGTCCGATGTCAGATTATACAGAAAATTAAAATTTCAAGAATTGCTGCAGTTTTTGTAAATATCTGTAATATTCATGAGACCATCTATGGAGCCTGGCCCTGGTCATTCTTCAGGAGTCTCTCCTATTCTCTAGTGAGGTTCCAAAATACTTTTTTTCTTCTCTACCTGACATCTCAGCTCTTATCTGTCCCAAATTCCTCCAAGCATCTGACATTACTCTTTTGTAGTTCCTGATATTCCTCTAACTGAGTCCTGAGGGGAGCCTCCCTGATAGTTGTTGGAGGTGGATTATTTCATTCCTACCAATCTTTACAGTTCTGTACCCAGTAGGACACCCGTCCCTGATTATTGGGTATTTGACTGAATGGGACCTTCCCATTGACTATGGATTATGGTATTTGTCTGAATAGGACCTTCCCATTGACTTTGGATTATGGTATTTGTCTGAATGGGACCTTCCCATTGACTATGGATTAGGGTATTTGACTGAATGGGACCTTCCTATTGACTATGGATTATGGTATTTGACTGAATGGGACCTTCCTATTGACTATGGATTATGGTATTTGACTGAATGGGATCTTCCCATTGACTATGGAAGGTTTAAATAAATCATCTCTATGTTATTTCCCAGCATATACTCACGAAGTGTGGTTGTTATGTTTTTGTTTTCATAACTGATATATATACAAAAAATCAACTCAATCAATGTAACACAATTAATACCTCTTACTCTCAGAACACTCTCAAAGGATTGTTTTTGTGCTAATATTATGACTTTGAATTTGTTAAAAATAGAGCCAGCTACAAGTTTAGTATGGTCTTCCTTTTAATGTGCCATGTAGCATGTAACATTCAGAGGAGAAATTTCAAATCTGTTTTCTTAGGGTAAGTTTTGCATCTGTTCATTACATCATTACCTTTAAAGCGTACTTTTTATACTTAAGGAAAAGATGGTCTTGAAGAAAAGAACTGAATAAAACTAATAACTTGGAGCACATTGGGTATGTTTTGCTCATAGTAATCACATAATTATCCTAAGTAAAATTTTTTAATGACGTCATCCATACGAAAGTGTGATTCCCTCAAAAGTAAGATTTTGGAAGTTTTATGCCATTCTTTATTTTATTTTATTTTATTTTTGAGATGGAGTCTCACTCCATTGCCCAGGCTGCAATGCAATGGCGTGATCTTGGCTCACTGCAACCTCCGCCTCTCAGGTTCAACCAATTCTCCTGCCTCAGCCTCCCGAGTAGCTGGGATTACAGGCACGCACCATCACGCCCAGCTAATTTTTGTATTTTTAGTAGAGAGAGGGTTTCGCCATGTTGGCCAGGCTGGTCTTGAACTCCTGACCTCAAGTGATCCGCCCACCTTGGCCTCCCAAAGTGCTGGGATTACAGGCATGAGCTACTGCACCCCGCCTATGCCATTCTTATATTGAGTAATGAAGCTTTACCACATGATCTCTGCCTCTTAAATCCTGGAATAATTTCAAAAGGAAAAACAAAGCCTAATGATATTTAGAGTAGCATGGGACTAGAGGACACCTATTCCAAGAACACTGTTAGATGTGTACTGTCTCACTAGTGGGAATATATATTTTTCCAATATCAGTATGTGGATTTCACCGTCTCCTAATAAAATAACTGCTCTAATTCCGTAAGTAGCAGCAGGAGGGGTTGATGTTGTCAAATGCTTTTCTTCTTTCTAACACTTGTGGTATACCGTATCGCCATTTAAAGCATTATCTTCAATCATCTCAAAATTCCTTGCACCTTGTGTAAATTATTGTTAGGATTTACTGCACATAAGAGACAAATCAAAAAACAATAGTGGCAACTTAAACACACATGAGCTTTATTTCCCATGCAAATAGCCCATGCTGTTTTGTCAGCTCCAGGAATAAATCAGTCCCCACGCTTCTTGTTTTTTTTCTGTTCCATTGTTCCTGGACTGCTGGTACTCCAGCCATGGTGCCTGCACTCCAGACAGCAGGAAACAGAAGAGGTTAATGGAGAAAGAGACCTTCCTTTACCTGTTCGATCTACTTTAAAGAGCTGTCTATGAAATCTTTCTCTAAAATATTCACTTCTATGGGATTGGTCAGAACATAGCCATATCTACCTTCAGGGATGCTGGAAAATATTAATGTTTTGCTGGGCACATTGCTGTCCCCCAATAATATAGAAGTACTATTAGTTCTAAAGAAGACAATAATGGATTATTAGGTTGGTCACTAGCCATATATCTCTATAATTTAATCCTCACTTTATACTCTGAAGATAGGAGGGTACCTAAATTTAACATCAAATTTAACTTTCCTAAATTGATTATCATTGGCATAGAGAAAGCTATTGATTTTTGAACATTTAGATTGCACCTATCACATTATAGAATATACATTTGTTCAGAGAGTTTTTCAGTTAGTTTGTCTGGATATTATAAGAGGAAGTGTTATCATGTATAATTCTAAGACTTAAATAGTTTTTTTTTCTTTATACCATTGAACTAAGTAGAACTTCCAATACAGTACTAAAAATACTAAACATCTATGTCTTGTTCCATTTATAATGTCCACTGTTAAGACCATAGTTCAGGTAAATTTCTTACCAAGTTATAGGCATATCCTTATATTTCTAGCCTGCTAAGCATTTCTTAAAAATCAATTATTAATGGCTATTAAATTTCATCAAATGACTTTTTTGTCATCCATTAAGAAGATTTTGTGTTTTCTCTTTTAATATATAATACTAAATTATAATAAATCTCTTAATAATACATAATGCTTTTATTTATTGGATAAAGTCTGCTAGCTCATGATGGATCGTTCACTTAATGTTTGGCTAAATTGTATTTATTAATGTTTTATTCATTTATTTTGCACCAAAATGAGTCTAATCTATACTGTTTTTATCTTCTGTATTCTAGTAATTTGTTAGCAGAATTTTGGTTGTGAAGTTTCTATATTTTTAAGTACTCTGTAATAGTTTGAATATAAGAATTATACTATTACATATATATTTTTAATCAGACACTTGGTGCTAATTGAATGGAATTGTTTGTTTTTTATTCTTTGACTTTTTAGTATATTTAGATAATCTACCATTTTAAATAAGGTTTAAGCAATTTGTGTGTTTTCTAGATCTAGTTCCAATCAATTGAAAATTACTTTGATTTTCAAGAGTATAAATATTTTTTTTCTTTTATAATGTTTTAAATGATTTTCTAGTATGGTTGTTATATAGACCTTTTATTATTACTGGTGATTTATATTTTAATGACTTATTTTCATCATTTGTCGAACAAGCAAGGTATACTTTACAGATTATTTCAAAGAATGTGTCTCATTGATGAAGTTTCTTTTTTGTCTTAACATGTTAATTTCCGTTTTTATTTTTAATCAGTTGTTCTCTTCTATATTTTATTGTTGATCTTTCATTTATTTTAAAGAAGACCTAAGTCATTTTATGCTTTACATTTCTTTTATACCTACGTATACGTTAAGTTAAATGTTATTCTATGTGTACCAGTGTGGATGCATTCTGTGTGTAGTGTTTCCCATATTGCTCATTTAAAAATACATCGTCATTTCAGAGATTATTTTTTGACTATCCAAATGTCAAAAAAGGAGGAATTTATTGTCTTTAAAACTTGTTTGCCCCAAGCATTAGATTTTATTTTTTATTCTTTTGTTTCTAATTTCTACCTTCATTGCATTTAGATCAGAGAATAGAGCCTTTATCATGTTGTCTTTAGGGAATTTTTGAGATTTTATTTCTAGTGTGATATATTTGCTTATTATAAATGTCCCTCTATTATTATATATAATATAGTTTATTTTTCTCTGTAGGGCAGAATTTTCTCTCCCTATACACATAGCTATAAAATCATATTGTTTTTATTCACATCCTCTGTGTCCTATTATTTGTCTATTTGATCTAACATTTCTACCATGATTGGCATTTGGTACATCACTCCTCATATGTTACTCAGTTCTCTCTTTACATATGTCGATGTCATGCTCTTGTTTGATATATAAATGCCAACAGTCGTTATATGTCCTTGGAAACTGTACTGTACAATATAAATAGAAAAAAAAAACCATCTCCTTTCCTGTTCAATTTTCAGTTTTCATACTACTGCATTAAGCTCTTTCTTATAAGTAACCATGAATTAAATGCCATATTATCTTATGATATTGTTCAATTAAAATTCAGGCAGTATATATGCAGTATGTTTAACTTAGAATTTCCAACAAAGAACTTGGCATATTGGTTTAACAGCCAATGATAAACAAACTGGTAGACAAATCAATAACTCAAAATAATTTCTGTTTATACTATCTTGCATTTTTTCCTAGGCAACATAACATACACAGTTATTTTCATTAAAATTACTTTAGCTTTAAGGATCCCAGGTTTTCCTCCCCAAAAAATCAAAGCACTAATTATGAATTCAATATCATTAGTACATTTAAATGCAAAATGATGAGGCTATAAGTTTTCATAGTATGCTCAAAATGTTTTTTTAAAATACATTTTTAGCACAATACCTTGAAGTCTAGTATATAAGGGAGAGATAAGGGAAACCACAAAAGAATGATAAAAAGCTTTAATGAATGTATCATTCCATCTCTCTTTTTTAAATTTACATACGGTAGTGATATGGTTTGGCCGTGTCCCCACCCAAATCTCATCTTGAACTCCCACATTTTGTGGAAGGGACCCAGTGGGAGGTAATTGAATCATGGGGGCAGGTCTTTCCTGTGCTGTTCTCATGATAGTGAATAAGTTTCATGAGATCTGATGGCTTTGTAGGGCAGAATGTCCCTGCACAAGCTCTCTCTCTCTTTTTGCATGCTGCCATCCATGTAAGATGTGAATTGCTCCTCCTTGCCTTTCACCATGATTGTGAGGTTTCCCAGCCACATGAAACTGTAAGTCCATTAAAACCTCTTTTTCTTCCCAGTCTCAGGTATGTCTTTATCAGTGGTGTGAAAATGGACTAATGTAGGCATCAAATTTGTTTTATGTGATTTTAGAACTTACCATCATATCAAGTCCATTCATATTTTCCCAAATTAGATTTGGTAAGATAAACTCCTCCATTGACATATTTCTTAACATTATGGGGTTTCCTGAGCTTAATTTTTGCTTCCGGTCATCTGTAGGATTGCTTAGGGCATTCACTGGGAGTCTGGGAGTACTTAGCTTTGTACATGGAGGGATTGTGAGGACAGAGAGTCACTGGCCTCCCTCCAGCCTGCATGTACTATTCCATCCCACCATGAAAAAAACAACAAACGAATTCCCAATCCTTCCCTCCTCTATCAAATGAGTTCCATTGTTACAGAGTCTTCTTTGTGTCTTAAATAATTTTCTATTAATAAGGAAACTTAGTAAACTGGAAATAATTCTAGGTGGTATCACACCTTTATTAACAGCTATCAAATCATATTTGGAATGATTAAATTTGAACCACAATAGCAGACCTGAAAATTAGCCTCTTTGGAAATATGATGTGCAATATGAATATTTGTATATACAGGAGGTCATTATGATGGTCAGGTTTGAGGAAGTTTTAAGGAGAAGAGGACTCCTGAAAGGAGAAAGAAAGAGTGACCAAAAAACTTTACCACTAGACCTAGGACTCAGAGTGAAAATGTTGATGTAACAGAAACATGATTATGATTTATTCCATATTTCAGAATTGTTGGATGACAAGTTTATCATATGGCAAAGAATAAGTATACCCTTGATTTTGATATTTAAATAAAAGGCATCTGATAATACCATCTCCAGAGAATAAAGTTTTATAAATTTAAAATCCACCCCTGCCTCCCAGACTGTAGTCGCTGAGTTTTACTCCAAATATTTTCTTAAAAATAAAAGTAAGTGAACTTGTTTTCTTCTCCCGGTTTTGCTGAGAACACAAAGATTTCAATTTACTTTGATGCCAATTATTCCAGGCAATAAAAGACACAATTTTTTCATGGTAAAATGTCTTCCAGGAAGCTACAGAACTGTGTATAATAAAAATACTTAGGTGAAGAGAATATCTGTTGAATTGATGTGCTTTTGAATATTTCTTTTTAAATTTTATGAGCTGTCTCCTGTTCTATCCTTTTCTTGATCTCAGAGAAATGAAGAGGGCTTTAAAAGTGGAAAATATACATCTTTCTCTGTATGTTGCTTTTAACAAACTATGTGATAGTATATGTCACCCAGGATTTGAAAAATGAAGTGACTACATCCTCTCTGGCAGAAGAATATCTTTTAAGCTTAGTAATGTAGAGCATAGTATTGGATATAATATATACTACCTTTCACTTTCCCTTAGACTATCAAATAAACTTACAGCTAGTAGAGAGGACCACATTAGATCATCTACTTTTCAGGTAAGCTGGTGTATTCTAAAGCTTTTTGTATGGTATGCTTATTCTCTTCATAATAAGGCATAACACGTATCTCTTGACATGTTTGCAATCCCAGTGAATAAATGAGCAAATATATTTATGATTCTCATGATGAAAGACATCTGGTGGTATTATCATAGTCTTAATATATATAGGCTACTACTATTAGGGCCTAGAATTCTTCCCATATGGACTGCCAATATGTTCCTAATTGCAAGTAATGGCAATAGTAAAAGTTCTAATTGGTTAAATGCATTCTATATTTTTTTCTGCTATGTATAATCTTTCATAGGATTATCATTTTCTGGAATTCTGTCTTCCTTAACTGTCTATAACCCACTGCTCTTTCTTACTGTCAGTTGACGGAACCTTCTGGTGTGAGACAGGTCATCTTCTTCCTCCCCCCATAGAGAAGATAAGAACTAGGCAGCTTATAAACCGCTATAGAACTCTAGGTCAAGTCTGGCCAGTAGGACCTAAAGATAGAAGATAGACAAGAAGAGCCAGAGAGCAGGGTGGAGAATGAGAGATGGCGCATGGGGAAATTGGTAAGGATGGAAACACACTGTGGAGGTATCCAGGTAAAGAAGGAAGCAGTGAAAGCTAGTATGTTTTGGATTGTTTTTATGTTTCGTGTTACAAACCTGCTTAACATGAACTTGTGGGCAAGAATAGGGGTTCTAACTTCCATTTTGTTAGTCACCCCGATAGTTTTCATGGTCAAGCCCTTGAGGGGCTATTTCCTTGGTCATGGTTGAGGCACAGGAATCCTTGGTGAGGTTGAGAATCTCTGGTCCATTTAACCAGCCACATTGTGGCTCCAGATTCTCTGAATTTCTCTCTGGTCCCCAAAGACAGTACTGCTGGGTGTCTTTGTCCCACAAGAGGGACACCAACCTCTCATCCTCTGTTTCTTTTTCTTTTCTTCCTTTTTCGGCCTACAAGAACTTCCTCTTGTTGCTTTCACAGACCCTTAGAACAACCTTCAGAGAGTAGACTGCAAGAAAACAAAAACAAGTGAGCAAAGAGTCTTTCAGAAAACTTTCACTTTGGGGTTCAATAAACAGACCTCTTCTGAAGAGCGGTGCTTAAAGACAGCTTGTGACAAGTGTGGGTGTGAGAAGACAAAACTCAGTGACAAATAAAACAGTATATGTACTAATAAATTATTCTGAGAGTTCTCAGCACATCCTCCCGCAGATCCTTATAACTTTTTCATGAAATTTCTGCACTAAGCAGAATAATGCAGTCTAGTAACAGAGCTTGACCATCATTACACTTCAGAATGTGTGTACTGTCTAGCGCTTATGGGATCCCACAGCTGTCCCAAGTTGCATCCTTTTGCTATTAAATATCATCCAATTGTGCTTTTAAGCTATGCTAAGCTGCTCCCATAATGGTGTTTTTGTCTTTCCTGGGAGATAAGAAATTGCTGCTAAAACAACCTAGAATTTCCTGGCATTTATTTCTTTACTTGTTTCTTTTCATGATGAGAAAAGCTTCTTCTATGTTATTTTATAAATAATTGTTTTTAAAATTACCAGGGTATAGTGGCTTAAGCCTGTAATCCCAGCACTTTGAGAGCCTGAGGTGGGAGAATGGCTTGAGGCCAGTAGTTTGAGACCAGCCTGGACAGCAGAGTAAGATCCCATCTCTACAGAAATAAAAGGACATAAAGCTAAAAGAAAATTCCGAAATTGCATTATTTTATTTTATTTATTTTGCTGCCCAGGCTGGAGTGCAATGGCAATATCTTGGCTCACTGCAACCTCTGCCTCCCAGGTTCAAGCGATTCTCCTACCTCAGCCTCCTGAGTAGCTTGGATTACAGGCAGCCCCTACCATGCCCAGCTAATTTTTGTATTTTTAGTAGAGACAAGGTTTCACTCTGTTGGTCAGGTTGGTCTTGAACTCCTGGCCTCAGGTGATCTGCCCACCTTGGCCTCCCAAAGTGCTGGGATTACAGGCCTTTGCCACCACACCTGGCCCTGAAATTGCATTAATTTAATCTAAGCATGTGTAGATATGTGATGGCCATATTTTTTATGCTTATATAATCACATGCAATTTTTATATGGATATGGATGAGTGTGGTGTGTGTGTATATATATCTATATATATATAGATATAGATATATACACAATAAGTCCTTTCATAAAGTTACCTGCATTCCTAAAAATAACTATGCTATGCACAATCAAGCAATAAAAACCACAGAGCTCATGAAAAAAAAATGATCATGGGACAAAGCATTCAACATTTTCATCAGTGACATATTTTTTAAAAAGACAGGAACCTAATAAAAACAGTAGCAGAGCTTTACACATAAAAAATGATTGAAAAATCCACAAGTACTGCAATAAAAATGTGGCACTTAACCTTTAAAAAATTACCACATTTTTCAGGTCTTTTGTGTCAGTGGGTGTTGAATGGGCTGCAGCTTCTGAGTTACTGTGAAGTAGTGGAAAGAGGGTTCTCTGAATCTGGAAGTTTGTATCATCAAGTGTGGATGGGTGTAGATCATAGTCCCAGGCACCAAACATAACACTCAAGTGATCTTTTACAGCCTTAAATCCTGGTGTAGATTTTTGTGTCTTTGAAATATAGACCCTCTGAGCACGTGGTTATAATAGATATTTTATTTGATCAACATTGAATATTTGACCCAATGTACAGTCTTCTTCTTTAATTAACTTTGGTATTAGTGTGGACATTTTATTTTAGGCTTTCTCTGCACCTGCAGCTTTGCTCAACAGCTGAAGGCTTTGCAAATTTTAGAGAGGTTTGAAACCACTAAACCAACCACTACAAGCACTAACAGTTCTCACTTTTGCAGGATTCAGCTTTGTCTCTTTAAGATCTTCACAGGTAGATAGTTGCTCACCCTGCTAGGCATTATGAACCAGGATAATGAAATACATTTGAGATATTGAATGAGTTTTTTTTTAAATACATATAGAAAAGTTCTTAAATAAGCAGGAAACAGAAGATAATCTTGTAGGAGAAAACATACAGTGAACTGAGGTGGCCGGTAAGTGTTTGTGGCGTGTGCATGCAGGTGTTATGTGTATTCCTACCGTCTGGTTCAGCTGGGAGCGGTTTTCTGCTTTCACCTGGTGTTTCTAATAAAGAAGTCTCACATAAGCTCACTGAAAATTCGCATTATGCTCCAAATGTTCCCAAATATATCCATCACATAGGGACAAATTTGTGTTTCAGAACAAGTGCTGTAGCTGAAATGTGGTAAATGTGTGTCGTATACAAATACACCATACACATTTTATATAATTTGTGTATGTATGTGTGACAATTTTACTGTTTTGTTATTTCCTTTCCCCTGCAGATAGACAAAAAAAAAAAAAAAAAAACCCAACACCCTGTCGTATTTTTTTTTGGTACTACAAAAATCCTGCAATAAAGCATGTGCACAGAGATTTGCGTTCTTTTATTTATTTATTTAAAAGAGAGCAGTAGAATGACACCTTTTGGCTACAAGAATATCTCTACATCTCTATCTATCTATCATCTACCTCTATCTATCTATCTGTCTGTCTGCCTATCTATCTATCTATCTATCTATCTATCTATCTATCTATCTGTCTATCTAGGACCAGGTATTGCTCTGTTGCCCAGGCTAGAGGGCAGTGGCACGATCACAGTTCACTGCAGCTTTGAGCTTCTGGGCTCAAACCACCATCCTCCCATTTCAACTCCTGAGTAGCAAGGACTGTAGGGGTATCCCACCATGACCAGCTAATTTTGTAATTTTTTGTAGAAACAGAGTCTTGCCTATGTTGCCCAGGCTAGGCTCAAACCCCTGGCCCCAAGCAATCCTCCTGTGTCAGCCTCCCAACATGCTTAGATTACAAGCATGAGCCACTGTGCCTGGCCAAGAACATCTATATTTTTAATGTAAATCAATATTGCCACATCACTTTTCTAAACGGCTAGAACAAATCATTTTTATGCCAACAATATTTAAGAATATTATCTCTTGAATCTTCACCAATAGTAGATGTTATCATTTTAAAATATCCTTTGAAATCTAATAGGTCATTGATATATCATTGTTATGTTAATTTGCACTTACCTGAACAATAGAGAGAATGAAAATATTTTCGGACATCTTAGCCGCCACCTGTATTGGCTTCGTTATGATTTCAGTATTCTATCTTGTGTTCATTTATCTGTTGAGTTGTTTCTTTGTATTATTAATTTATAAGTGTCATTGTATATTATATAATTAATCTTTTGTTAGTCATGTACCTTACAAATAGTTCTCAAGTTTATAACTATAAACTGGTTTTGTTGATTTTTTTACAAATATGTTAATGTTTATGTAGTCAACTATGTATCTTTTCTTATTCTGATTCACTTGCTTTTTTATTTAATTTCTTTTTCATACGTATTCTTCAGGTCAAGTATGTGGCTGTCATAGTCATCACTGCTATCTGCAAATGTTTGCATGTCATTCTATCACCTGGACAGGTAGACGATGTCCTTGATATAGTCTTTTCTTTCAATAGTTTATAGACGTAATTCCCCCATTTTCTAGTGCCCAAAGATGTAGTAAACGTTCATTATTAGATGATTTACTTTTCTTTTGTAAGTTACTTCTTTTTTTCTGACAGAAAGGTTACAATTGTATATGTTTCTATTTTGATCAATTGATTGATTGGTACTTGGAATCTGGTAGGTAACTTTTCTTATCAGCCTTACCTAGAACTAAGTCAGCCCTGTCTGCTTAAGTATTTATTCAGCTCAGGCGCATTAGATACTCATTGTAGCCTCAATTTCATCAATTACTTCTTCTCTTCTTGAAATGTATATTATTTAAATAGTAACCTCCTCAATCTTCCAATTTACTTCCAATCTTGTACTTCCACTGCCCCAGACAATATCTGAAAAGCCCTGAATTCTTTTGTTTGTTTGTTTTGGGAAATGGTCTCACTCTATTGCCCAGGTTGGAGTGCACTGGCGCTATCTTGTCTCACCACAGCCTCGACCTCCTGAGGTGATCAGGTGATCCTCCCACCTCAGCCTCCCAAGTAGTTGGGACTACAGTTGTACGCCAGAACATCCAGCTAATTCTTTGTAATTTTGTTGAGACAGGGTTTTGCCATGATACCTAGGATGGTCTCGAACTCCTGGGCTCAAGTAATTCACTGCCTCTGCCTCCCAAAACGATAGTATTACAAGTGTGAGCCACTGCACCTGACCCTGAATTATTTTAATGCAGGTAGGTATTTGAAAGCCTAGGAATGAGGGCTAGTTATTTCATGGTTTCTGACATGTCATTGCTTCCAGGCCTACTCGGTGAACAAAGCATGAAAATGGTGTGTGTGTGTGTGTGTGTGTGTGTGTGTGTGTGTGCATGTGATGGGTCTAAAAATGTATCTCCCTAGTGACTTCACGAAAGGACTGTGTGAGTTCTCTCAGCTGCTGGGAGTACACTTAGCAGCAAACATGAGCTCCCAGGCCCTACAGGGTCTATATTTTTAATTTAAATCAATAAAATATTCTTAGCTTCACAGACCTGTCTCACCCAAGTCCATATTCTTCATGAACAAACACACATCTAATGACTGCCCATCTCGGGATAAAAAGACCTGATGTTTGAGCCCACTGCAGGGTAGGTCTGAAAGGCCATATGTGCTTCAAAGCACCCCTTAAAGTTGGCCAAGTCTTGAGAATAAATTACTTTTCCCTTTGCCCACCCCCACCCCCGCCTTCTATAGGTGTTCATCCCTTATGAATATCTTGCATATCAAACTCTGGCTTAGTGTCTGCTTCCAGAGAACCTTTATATATTTGCACATATACAAGTATATCTATAATATAGATATCTCAGTATAATATATAATATATTAAAATGTATTCATGTTAGTATATTTAGTAATATATACATTTATAAGATATATTAAATTTATGTAAGATATTATAATGAATATAATATATTATAATATGTATGTTTTATATATATTTATGGAATATATACTTATTTTTATTTTTGTATTTATCTTTCTATGAACTTGAAAACCATGACTTACAAGATATCTACCCTTCCATACTTTTAGCTTCTTTCACAGACATAAAATGCCTGCCTCTATCCTTGGTATAGTCACTTATTTGATCAATATCCTTATATGCAATCAGTCTGCTAGCCTCACAGCCATCCTCCTTCCAGATGTGCAGACATTCACTTGCCCCTACCCATGCTCCAGCTTCAGCCCACCCTATACAGTGACTTGGGCTCCAACAAACTGAAAAAGGGCTGTGCACCATTGAGAATGCTGTGCTCACCACACTGGAGCTCTGACGCTCTGTGCTGTACTGCCCCTCCTATCCCCAAACCCATATGGTCACCAAGTCAAATCCATGGCACTCAGACAGCCTTTGTTGAGGAGCCCTCCCACACAAACACCCACATCATCCTGCCTGGACTTTGCAACCCACTCTGGGCCACAGTAGCTCTTTTCTTCTAATTCTAATGCAGCTTTAGGAAGGGAAGAGGAAGAAGAATAGTATAATTTTTGAGATTCATTCATTTTGTGTTTGTTTGGAGACTGAGGTCAATGTTTAATTTCTTGAAGATGGATATCTAGTTGTTTCTGAATCAACGGATAATGATTTTGAGATTCATTCGTGTTGTTGCATGTATCAATAGTCCATCCCTTTTATTTACTGTGCAGTACCCCATTGTATGGTTACATCATGATTTATTTGTTTTCCTATTGATAGACACTTAGGTTGTTTTCAGTTTTTAGCTATTATGGATAAAGCTACTCTGGACATTCATGGGCACATTTTTTAATGGACATAGGTTTTCATTTCGTTGTATAAATATCTAGGAATAGAATTTCATTGTAAGAAGCTACCAAATCAATTATCAAAATGGTTTTACCATTGTACACTCTATCCACCAATGTACAAGGGTTCCATTTGCTCCATAACCTTTCCACCATTTTGGGTTTTCAATCTCAGCCATCCTAGTGGGAAAGTAGTAACTTGTGCTTTTAATTTACATTTCCCTAGTGACAAATGAGGTAAGACATTTTTCCATTTTATTGTAAAAGTTCTTTAGATTTTCTCTATACAAATCATTTATCAGATAGAGAGAAAGAAAATATTTTATCCTACTTATTAATTATATATTCATGTTCTTAAATAATCTATTGATAAGCATAAGTTTTCATGTTGCTAGAATCTAGTTTATTAATTGCTTTTATTCAATGTTAAGTGCTTTCTGATTTCTGTATAAGAAATATTTGATTACCCCAATATTTTAAAGATACTCTTTTTTCAGGAAGCTTTACAATTTTGGCTCTTGTGTTTATGTCTATAATCTATCTGAATTAATTTTTGTGTTTGTTTGGAGGCCGAGGTCAATGTTTAATT